>NC_000011.10:124142121-124445151 GCF_000001405.40 Homo sapiens
AAACCTGCTATCCCAGTGGAGTCTAGGGTGACCCCTAGTCGAACAAACCCCCTTGGCCATCTCAGCTCACACAGCTTGCCTGCGGGCTGCCCTCGCCCCCCAGCAGAGCCCTGCTGCCACCATCTGTGAGCCCCTGTTCCACTGGTCATCCTTTCACAAGTAGGGTTTGAAGACCGATCTTCTGGATGTTGTCTGATGACTTTCTTTCTATTGCATTCTTGCTATGGCCTGTCTCTGAATTTAGCAGCCCTAAATTCAAGTGTGCTGAGGTGCCGATAGCTCCACAATTTCTCATTCTTCTCTTTTCTTTCTCCTCAAAGGCTTTGGAGAGAATCACCTTGTGCAGCTGATTTACCACCAAAATGCAAATGGTTCCTGGGATCTGAATGAAGATCTAGCCAAGATCCTAGGTATGAGTTTGGAAGAAATAATGGCTGCACAGCCTGCCGAGGTAAGATTCAATGGAAAAAGGAGTATGTATGTTTTTGAGAGAGAGGTCATCATTGAGAATTGAGGTGATTCAGGACCTACCTGAGGAAGGAAAATATAGGGGGTCATAGACTAAATTAATTTGTAATAAATAGAGGCTGAAGGTTTTTCCAGTCATGTTAGAGCAGAAAGATCAAGGGATTAATGGGGAAGCTAGTAGGAATTGATGGGGTTTTTTTTGCTGGTGGATGACAAAGGGAAAGCAAAAATCCTCTTCCACTTTAATCGTATTCCCTGCCAATCATCTTGGTTATGTAACTAATACTTAGTGAGCAATTACTCTGTGCCAAGCACTGTGCTAAGCAGTTAATATTCATGAGCTTATTTATTTCACACATTAATTTAATAAGGTAGATCCCATTTGTGTTGCTGTTTATAGATGAAGAAACTGAAGTTCAGGGAGGTCTAAAAATGTGTCTGAGTTTACCTAGCCCATCAGTGGCAGAGCCAGATTCAGTTCTAAGAGTATCTGTCTTGAGAACCCCCAATAATAACCTCATTATTGCTCCTCTTCATACCGATGAAAGTGGTCCAGACATTGGCAAAAGTTAACTGAAGTCAGGATAGGTAAAGTGTTGTTACTAGGAACCACCTAGTTGTTTCAGATGTATTTAAATATGCTGATAAGGATAAATTGCATTCCAGAATTTCAAGGTAACTTACAAAATCTTCTAACGCTCATTGAGAAGTTGTTAGGCATGAGACAGGTGCAAAAAGCCTGAAGGACAAATATCATTCTAAACTTTCAAAATGTGGAAGGAGATCAAATAAATTTCAGATATTCTGCAATTCCACTGTCCAATACAGTATCCACTAGTCACATGTGGCTATTGTGCCTTTGAAACGTGGCTAATACAAATGAGGAACTGAATTTTTAATTCAATAGAGGTGTGCTATGGTGGGAAATACATACTAATTGCAAAGACTTTTATAAAAAGGAATAAAACATTTCATCAATAATTATTTTTATATTGATTGCATGTTAAAATGATGACTTTTTAATAGATTGGGTTAAATAAAATATATCAGTAAAATAATTATACCTCTTTTACTTTTTAAAATTTGGCTACCAGAAAATTTAAAATTACATATGTTTCTAGCATTATATTTTTATTGGAAAATGCTGTTCTAGAAAAGTAATTAAGATGATAATTCATACACACTTGGAAGAGGATACAGGGATTATTAGATGCACTGGGAACAAAAAACTTCAGACTGACATTTCCTTCTTTGGAATGGTAACCAGGCCAATGAATCAAGTGAACCAACAGACCTGGTATATCTGAATTTCAGTAAGGAATTTGATTTTTTTTTTAATGATGAGAACATGGACCAAGTACAAATTAGTTGAAAACCTATGGCGCTGAATGATGAATTGATTTCAAACATGAAACAGATTTTTAGACCCACCAGGCTCTGAATTCTCTGGAGGTCCACAGTTTCAATGAAGATTTAGATGAAGATAAAGACCAAGACTTTCCTATTTGTAGATGACAAAACTGGGAGATAAACTATCAGTCAAAAGAATCAGGATCCCAAAAAACCTCTGAACAATGAGTTGCAACTTTTCATTAAAAAAAAAGAAAAACAACATAGTAGGAATAAAAGCTAAGTACTGTTTTGGGTTCCAAATTCCCAACTCTACAGGTAGAGAAGAGAGCATTTGCACATGAAAATCAGAGGTTTTAGATGACTACAACTGTGTGAATCAGAATATTTAACTAAGAAATGGAGGACAACAGGGTTACCTGAAATGGGCTGTGATTGTAGAATTCTATAAGTACATTTACCTCCAGATAGACCATTTAAGGAGATATATTTTTAAAATCATTACGCTGTTTGTTTTTAGACTAGGAGAACAAGCGTGGGGATGCTTACTGCTTTGACATAAGCAGTCCTCTTAAGGAAGAAATGGAGGAATTGAGAATTCTAATCTGAAATAAGACCACTCAGAGAGGACATGATAGCCATTTCCAAGTTTTAAAAGTCATGATATAAAATAGGAATTTCCCTTGATCTCCTGACTCTGAAAGCTGAAGCTGGGAGCAGTGAGCGAAAACTCATGGGAGACAATTTTCTGCTGCATGGCTGAGATTTTCTATTGAGAAATAAGAGAATATAACTAGAGTCAGAATATTTGGCCTTTAGTCTCACTTCTGTCGTTTGCTAGACAGCTAAGTTTGAGCAAATCATTTTGTTAATACTTCTATATGAAATCAGTTTTCTTTCTTAAAAATGTTTATTGATATTTTTTCATGATTTCTTTGGTGGGGGGGTATAAGGGTTACAATTAAAAAAAACTTATGAAGGTTCTTTATAAACTATAAAGCAGTTTTGCCTGTGTTTCTCTTACTAGAGCTGGCCTTGTCTTAGGGGTTTCCAGAACCGTCCTGGTGGTTACACTGGATTTAAAACTTAGGATTTTCTATTTCGAGACTCAATGGATTGCTGCCCTGAGGTTTAAGGCCTGGCATTATGCCTTGCAAGTAGTATCTGGAGGTAAAGAGAGACCAGGTAACTCCATCTAGTGACATTTAGAAGGATGCTAAGTGAGGAGGGAGTGAAGCTTTTTGCATCCTTTTGAGGGACTTCCTGTGCCAACTGGAGCTCTCTATCTACTGTGCAGCTTGTGGATTCCTCAGGCTGGGCCACCATCCTGGCCGTGATCTGGCTGCACAGCAATGGTAAGGACTTGAAGTGTGAATGGGAGCTTCTGGAAAGGAAGGCCGTGGCCTGGATGCGTGCCCATGCAGGTAGGAGCACAATCCTAAGGCCTGTCTCCTTCCCCTTCCCTGGCCTGGCGGAAGGTGACCACAAGAGAGTCCCATTGTCACCTGCCTCCACCATCCTGCTTCAGATCTTTACTAATCTTTCTGCTAGTTCTTTTCTTGGGAGGACAAGGGTGAAATATTAAATTGGGGACAAGGTAGGTGGGTGAGTAGGGAGGGAGAGGGACACAAATGGGGAGTGTGAACTGTGAGAAGGACAAGTGGCATTGATTCTCCTTACTGTCTCAGTACCAAGCTGAGTAGAAGACTAGACTTGGTGCGTGTTCTCCTGGCTGTTTGTTATCTCACTGCAGCTGAGTGTATCTGGGGCCAGAGAAGATTCAAGGAGAATCTGGGTAGCAAGAAAAGAAAAAGCAGGGATATTGAGGACAGATAAAAGCACAACTCAGGGTAGATGATCTGGGAGGTTTGGAGGAGCCTCTAATTGCAATCCTTCATCCCTGCTTCTTGTTTTTCCTCACCACAGGCTCCACCATGCCTTCGGTTGTGAAAGCTGCTATTACTTTCCTGAAGTCATCTGTGGATCCTGCTATCTTTGCCTTTTGAAGATACCATCCAGAAAAAGAAGTGCCTTTAATTTGCTACTGTCATTTCCTCTAGTATCACTTTTGCTGTGATGATGTGTTCTTGTGTATTATAACTCTTTATTTTTTGCCATAAAAGTAAAGGATGCTTACTCCACTTCGCTTCTCTGCTCCAGGTTCACTTTGGATATGATCTTTCTTTTCCCAACATATGCCCTCAGAAAAGTGACAGTGGTCCCAGAACCTATTCCCTTTCTTGAGGGAGTTCAAAACATTCATAGGCAGTAATGTTCCTCCCAGGGTTTCCAGGGAAACAACATGAAAAACAGGTGACATGAACTACAGACTAAAGATTGCAGCATTTATGTTAGAGAATGCTTGAATTAGAGAATTTTCTGCATTATCTTTGTCTGTTCACTTTCTATCTTATATACTTATCAGGGCCATACTGGTAAGCTTGCGTAGGAGGAGTTAGAGGGAAGTTGAAAGCCAACATCTGGATCAATGTAATGTCAAGATCACAAAGACAGAGACTGCAGGGGTCCACTGTGAGAGGTGACACTGTTGGGGACCTTCCTGATTCATTCTTCTTGGGCTTTGCTAGCCTGTACAACCTACATGTCTTTTCTTCCACTGCCTGAAAGACTTGGGTTGAACTATAACTGTTGGAGAGAGATGTTCCTCTTTAATCATGAAACACCTTAAGAAGTCTATAATGCAATCCTTAGTCCTACCCTGAACCTATGTGTCCTCTAAGTCAGGCCCTGATCTAGTGCAGTAAAGGGAAGGGTGGGCTTAATGGGAGCTTTGCCTGGGACCTGAACCTGGAGCACTTACCGCATTAGGAAGAAAGGAGCTCCCCGTAATCGTTCCTGACCCTTGTGTCTCATATACCCTATCCTGGTGGAAATGACCCTATTTGATATGCTGTCCCTTAAAATAACTTGTATCAATATTAAAATGACTATTTCTACCCTTTGATGAGTAAATGCAGTGGTTCTTAAAGTGGTCTCGTCTCCCTACCCCACAATATTTTGGTACTGCCACTTTGGGAAGCCAAACTAGGATAGTAAATTGACCGGAACACAGTTGTGGAAATTTGACCTGAAGTTAGTGAAATAAAACTTAGTAGGGAAAAAAAGCTTAGCAAGAGGTCTACTCCTCCATAGATTCATTTATTGAACTTACATTGGTTTTATTGTCCCTTGTTTTCTGTTCCAGCTTTTCTGATGCCTCCACTGTTCCCATGGTATCCTGACCCTCTATCTTCTGTTGTAGGCTGACTTCTTTTATATGAAGCAAGTAAAGGATACTAATAAGAATACCACTGTAGAATCCTGACCATACCCTTAAATAGTTATGTGATGATGGGCAAATGATTTCACCCTCAGGCACTTAATATCCTCATCTGTAAAACTAAGGGATTAAACTAGAACTTTATTAACACTTTCGAGTTCCACTCAGAATTCCTAGAGGAACATCGGTGACTTTTCACTCAGAAAGTGGGTGGACTAGGCCTGAGTTTCTTTAAGTTGTTGAGTTACCTGGTATTAGGAAGACTTGTGTGACTTGCATAGTGGACTCTAATCTCTCAGTCTTTCTTCCAAGTTTGTTTATGCTGAATGTGATCTGCGGAACAGGGTTGTTAGAAATGCAGCTTTTTAGAAATGCAGAATTTTAATCGATACCAGGAACTACTTTATTTAACAAGGCTCCCAGGTATCATGCATGCACATTGAAGTTTGAAAAGTAAAGGCTTAATATTTTCATGAAATAGGCTTATATCCAAGCCTGCCATCTAGATAGGCCCTACCTATGTAATTTCAGAAAATAGTTTCTTAAGGACCGTGAAACTTGTATAGTTAACCTCTGTGCACACAATGCTGTGACTTTACATTTATTATGCGGAGCGCTTATCGTTTACCTCCTTTTTTCTCACCCTTCAACTTCCAGACTGGGGCTTGTGGACTTAGTGCGGGGCGTTCTAAAACAAAAACTAAACGAACTAAAAGAAACAAAAAAAAAATTATCAACCTGTCTTTTGACCTCTTTAAAATAAGACAACTACAGTTTTAAAGTGGCGTGGTTTTATTTTTCCATTTGGGCTCCTGCACAGTGAAATGTTGTGCCAACTGTAAATTCCTCGAATCTAAACAAGTGTCAGTCTTCATAATCAGCAAATGGCATTTTGGCACATTTGTTGAAACCCCATTTCAAGTCTGATGCTTTATGTTTTGGGAAAGTATAAAGAACCATCTGTAATTTCAGAAACTGGTGGTCCAGGCAAGGAGCCCAGGAGAGAAGCTGTTCTCATCTCCCATTAGTTGCCTTTATCTAGTGCTTGTTTCCCCCACAGCAGCAGACTTGGCCACAGGAAAAGTGGCAGATACCATTCCCTCAAGATTCTTCCACTCAAACAGGCCAGGAGCTCCCCTGGAGGGTTCTCTGTTCTACACAGACTTACTAATGAAATCCATCCTCCGTCTTCCCCAACTCTAACACAGTCCCACTCAGGGTCACTGAGCATCTGCTCTTCCTCTCCCAACTCACAGCAATTCCTTCCTTAAAAACAGTCCATCTGCTTTCTGGAGTATCTGATTGACCAGGAGAAAACCAAAAAAAAAAACCCATGCAGTGAACTGTGTATTTTATCAGTTTTTACCTCATATATTTTGATATTCTCCTAAGTGCATATACATTTAAAATTATCATACATCCTTGGAAAATTGACTCTTTTATCATTATTTAATGCTCAACTTTATTCCTGATTTTTGTTGTTGTTGTTCTGAAGTTGGCTTTGTCTGAAATTTACGTAACTACTGCAGCTTTCTGCTGATTGGTTTTGGCAGGGTGTATCTTTCTCCATCCCTTCACTTTTAGCCTATATGAGTCTTTTTATTTAAAGTGGATTTTTGGAAACAACATGTGGTTGGGTCTTATTTATTTGTTTTTGTTTGCTTTTAATCCACTCTGGCAATCACTACTTTTAAATTATCGACCCATATCATCTATATTTAGAGTAATTATTGATAAAATTAGGTTAATATCTACCATGTTTGTCAACTGTTTACTATTTATTGCATTTTTTTCTTTTATTTTTTCATTTTTGCCTTTTCTCACTTTAACCAGGCATTTTGTGTGATTTCATTTTATCTCCACTCAATATATCCATCATATTTCTTAAGAATTTTTTTAGTTTTAGCTCTGGGGTTTGCAATATGCATTTATCACTAATTTAAGCCCACCTTCAAGTTACACTATATCACTTTACATGTAGTGCAGTTACCTTATAACAGAGTATTCCTAATTCCTTCCCATCCACTATGACATTGCTGCCATTCATGTCACTTATGTCTATATTTTAACTACCTAATTGTTACTATCATAACTTTAAACAGTTATCTTTCAGATCGATTAATAAGAAAATGAAAATACATATTTCACTTTTATTTATTTCTTCCTGACATTTCCTTTCTTTGCATAGATCTGAGTTTCTTACCTGTATCCTTTTTCTTCTTCCGGAAGAATTTGTCTTAAAACTTCTTGTAGAACAGATCTGTGGGCAATGGATTCCCTTAGTTTTTCTTTTTGTCTGGGAAAGTCCTTATTTCTTCTTCACTTTTGAAGCATAATTGTGCTGAACTTATAGCTCCGTGTGTGTGTGTGTATGTGTGTGTGTGTGTGTCTATTTTTTTTTGAGACAGATTCTCGCTCTGTCACCCAGGCTGGAGTGCAATGGCGTGATCTCGGCTCACTGCAACTTCCACCTCCTGGGTTCAAGTGATTCTCCTGCCTCAGCCTCCCGAGTAGCTGGGACTACAGGCACATGCCACCACACCTGGCTAATTTTTTTTATTTTTAGTAGAGACGGGGTTTCACTGTGTTAGCCAGAATGATCTCGATCTCCTGACCTTGTGATCCACCTACCTTGGCCTCCCAAAGTGCTAGGATTACAGGCATGAGCCACTGCGTCCAGTCGTCTTGTCTTTTAACACTTTAAATATTTTACTTCAATCTCTTTTAGCATGAATAGTTTTTGGCAAGAAATATGCTGTTATTCTTTTTCCTCTATAGGTAAAGTGTTCTCCCCCTCCTGCCCCGCAGACTTTTGGGATTTTCTCTTTGTCTTTGGTTTTCTGCAGTTTGAATATTATATTTGTAAATGTAGGGCCTTTTGTATTTATCCTTTTGGTGTTATTTGAACATTCTGAATCTGTAATTTTGTGCTTTTCATTAATTTTGGAAAATTTTTGCTATAACTTCAACTATTTTTCTGCTTAGTTTTTTCTTGTATTTCAATTGCATGTTACACTGTTTGAAATTATCCTGTAAGTTTTGAATGTTCTGCTCTGTTTTTCCTATGTGTTTGTTTTTTATTTTGTTTTTGTTTATATCTTTACATTTAAGTTTAGGAAGTTTCTATTGGTCTATCTTCCATTCCAGAGATTCTTTATATAGCCATGTGAATGTGTGTTTGTTTTTTATTTGGTTTTTGTTTTTATCTTTACATTTAAGTTTAGGAAGTTTCTATTTGTCTATATTCCATCCCAAAGATTCTCTTCCAGGTTTGTAAATGTCAGCAGTGACTCTGAAGTCACCTGTCTCTCAGGATTTCAGAATGACTATTTACCTGTGTTCTCAGTTTCTAAAGGGTACAGATAAATGAGTTTTGTATTATTCCATTCTTGCATTGCTATAAAAAGAAAACCTGAGACTGGGTAATTTATAAATAAAAGGTTTAATTGGTTCACAGTTTGGCAGGCTATACCAGAAGCATAGCAGCTTTTGGGGAGGCCTCGGGAAACTTAGAATCATGATGGAAGGCAAAGCAGCTGGTGTCTTCATGTGGCCAAAGCAGGAAGACGAGAAAGAGGAAGGAGGTGCTACCCACTTTTAAACAACCAGGACTCGTGAGAACTCTGTCGCAAGAACAGCACCAAATGGGGAAATCCACCCCCATCATCCAATCACCTCCCACCAGGCCTACCTCCCACACTGGGATTACAATTCGACCTGAGATTTGGGTGGGGACACAAATCCAAACCATATCATGTTTGTTCAGCTTTTTCTTGTGGTAATGGTGAGAGTGATGGTTTCCAAACTCTTTGCATGTTATAGTTGAAACTGGCCTCCATGTAGTCTGATCTACCAAATCTCCACACTTCACTGACCCTTCATTTACAGAACTGTACTTTTTGGAATTTCAGAGGTAGAAAACATTCTTTTTTCTATTGTGGTCTATCCAAAGTTAAAAGTTTGGGTTTGTTTGTTTTGCACATAAACCAGTTTTTATTACTAAGTGATGTAACAAACAGACATCCTTAATGGTGAGATATGAAAATGAGGTGAGGTGTGGGGAAGAATTCAGTAATGCAGTGAGGGTCAATAAATAGACAGAGTCTCAGGTAGGGATGAGGGTATAATGTTAGGCAATTCTTCTTAAATAATAATAAGCATAGTCATAAAGCTGAAAGTGGAATTGTATAGAAATATAGTCAGGCTTACTTTTAAATATATATATATTTAAAAGTATATATATATACTTTGTCAGCGATCAAGCTCTATATAGACTTTAGAATCCATGCCTTTTTTAGTCTTTATTTCACTTTAAAAAAAAAACAGCTTAGTGAAGTGTAGTTTATGTACTGTGAAATCCATTCACTCACTTTAATTCTTTTTTGAGGTACTGTAATTAACAGTTTAACATTCAGTGGATTTTTAGGGTAAAGACGCTTAAGCTTACAAGCATGTTTTCTGCTTTACTGAGGTACAATAGACAAATAAAAATGATCACTCTGTCTTTTGATTGGAGAATTTATTTCATTTACATTTAAAATAACTATTGATAAGTGAGGACTTATCACTGCCATTTTAATTGATTTCTGTTTGTTTTGTAGTTGGCTTGTTCTTCTCTTGCTTTCTTCCTGTATTTGATTTTTTTTTGGTAGCAATTTGCTTTGATTATTTTCTCTTTATGTTTTGAGACTTTTCTTTGTGGTTATCTTAAGGCTTTCATAAAAATAGCTTGTATTTATAACCATCTATTTTAAGTTAGTAACAACTTCAACTGCATACAGAGACTCTATGATTGAAAGTATTATTATTTTTTGCTTTTAAAAATAAAAAATGTGAAATAGCTACTTGTTTTGAATATTAAGAACAAAGATTATAATACTTTATTAATAAATTAGCTGAATTATCTGATTTTGGGAGAATCTGTAATCACTAATAGATAAAACCATTAAAATGAATGTTACAGATACAATTAATACACAGCTATATATTTTCCATTTTGTACCAAATATTTATACAATAATCATCTTATAATAATGTTCAGGTGTAAATAAATATATGAATGACACTACCACCCTGGTCCAAGATACATAGTGTTGCACATATTCAAAACAACTTTATCAATTATGATAGATTAAAAATTAGCACTTCTGCTGTTGTGATTTCTTAATGTCCATGGCTAAACAGACACACATTAAATGCAGAAGATATTATAAAATGAAGCTGTAGTTCAAGCAGATCAGATTTATCTGAGGAATAGATAGAAATATTCTCTTATAACTATCTATTAGAATGCATGATCAAAGGACGTGTGACGTTTGAAGGCAGAGATTCTGAATTTGGGTTCAATAGTTTCTGAAGCTCCAAGAACTGATAGTTGGTTCCAAATGGACTTAATATTGATTGAGACACCAAATACTTTCAGGCTCACATTTCCATTGAGAGATGGAAACTAGTGATTCATTTTAGACATCAAACTGCTCCATCTGATTCCAAGGACTGGTCCAGTGTTCTAGCCTGTTATGGTTACCTGACTTATATCCCAACAGGTTACAGGCTTTGAAAGTGGGAGTGGGATCAGATAGAAGCATGAAAATTTGTTTAGGAATTAGTGATGACTGAGGATTTCAAATCACTCAAGAGCGTTTCCAAGGATTCAAGTCCCTGATATTGCTTTCATTTCCATCTCTCCCCAATAAAAATGCAGAATATTTTCAGTTCTATATTCCCCCACTAGGTGGGTCACACCTCATCCATAGAAACCATCAAATTTTTAGGATGCCAAGAACTTTTCCACCAGGAAAAAAAAAATGATAGGAAGGGAAGAAGAACAAAAGGAAGAAAAGAAAATAGCAGCTTCAGATATGTGTCACCCAGTAAATAGCCATTATTATACTCCTTTCCATTTTTGGGCTTACAGCCTAATTCTTCTCCACTGGGTTATCGCAGATAAAGGAAGAAACATGATTGACAATTCACCGCAGACCCTTATCCTGCCAAGAAACAACAAAGCACCTGTCATTGGATCAAGAATGCCTAGACTTAAGCTTGCTATTCATAAATAGAAAATTTTGCTGAAGGATTAGTTGATGAATCAGTTGTTGCTAGACTATGTCATGACTTACTTGAATACCTGGAGCAGGAAAAAAAAAGGAATTAAATTAAGCAGACTAAAACAAAGATGATGCAAATATAATGCAAATTTCCTCACAAGTAGTAAACTTTCCAGTGGGATTTTTTTTCCCTAGGAAACAGAACATGAGCTAAATAAGTGTCTCTCTGTCTCTGTTTGTTCCTCTGATGCTTTATCTTATGATGATGATGATTATTATTATTATTATTGAGACAGACTCTCACGCTGTCACCCAGGCTGGAGTGCAGTGGTATGATCTCGGCTCACTGCAACCTCTGCTCCCCTAGTTTAAGCAATTTTCCGACCTCAGCCTCCGAGTTGCTGGCATTACAGGCATGTGCCACCATGCCAGGCTATTTTTTGCATTTTTAGTAGAGATGGGGTTTCACCATGTTGGCCAGGCTGGTCTGGAACTCCTGGCCTCAAGTGATCTACCTGCCTCCGCCTCCCAAAGTGCTGGGATTACAGGCATGAGCCACCGTGCCCAGCCTATCTCATTATATTTTGATGCCATAATCTTGTCAAGGAATCCAGGATAAAAACAGTAATAACCATAAGGTTATATAGAAGGCTTAACCAAATATTCAAATGAATCTATTAATAATTCATCTCTCATCCAGAGACAGCTGCTTTCTGTATGGTGTCACTTTGGGAAGCAGTGATGATGTAGTGGAAAGAGAGCTAAACCTGGGAATGCCTGCTCTTCTACTGTCTAACTTTAGAAAAGCCAGAATTGCTCTGAGGTTTAACGTCCTTATTTGTAAAGTGGAGTTAAGAAAACCCACCTGACACAGCTCTTAAGAATTAATTAAAACTACAGAAAAGTGTATTGGAAAACTAGAACAACTACAAATGTTAGGTGGTATTAGTTATTAACGAGTATTTGAAAATCAAAATTAGTGATAAACTTATTTGTCTTCATAACACAAAGGGAGAAGTCATATTATTCTGGATTTGAGATACAACCCCATCATTAACCAACTCTGTTACCTTAGTTATGTTGATTAAACTCTTTGAGATTAAGCTTTCTACTATAAAAAAATAGATAGAAATACATTTTTGGTAAATATTGAAAGATATTAAATACAGAGCCCTCATCACAATTCCAGTATATAGCAAATCCACAGAAAATGTTAGCTATTATTAAAAATGTGATGTACTTACTAAGACATCCCAACAAACTGTGTCCACCCTCTGAGACCCTATCTGAGCAGTATCTGTACACGCTCCACAACCTGCTTTTCTCTTCTTTTAAAAATGCTTCAGCAACAGCTTTGGTATTACAATGGTAATAGTTTTGTAAACTTTGTAACTACTTTTGTAACTACTATGGACATATTCATAATTGCTTTTGCTTTAGGGGTTAGCTGAATTATCATCATTAATTTAAAGCTCCACTTTTATTGTGTTAGGTCAGTATCTTTGAAAAATTTTATGGTGGAAATAAAATCAAATAATTTTATACTAAGAAAAAACTTTAAGTTTTTTGAATTTATGTTATTCATTCAAATTGAGAATATCCTTAATGGTATACCTGAAAGATGGTTCTCTTTACCTCTTCTTGAATACTTCCAGTGATGAGATCATTACATCAAAAGGTTGCTTATTTCATTGATGTACATTTTCTAATAATTAAACAATTCCTTTTTACATTGAAAATAAATCTATCTTTCTACTATATCTGCCCATGATTCTTGAGTCTGTGTAAAATAACTCATATTGAGTCTACCCACCAGCTTTGCAAGCATTTGAAGACCACATTAAATCTCTCTTTCTCTTCTTTTGGTGCAAGACTCAAATCTCTGTAACTCAGCATAGCCTAGTGCTGAAAAGAATTGGCTTTGAGATTACAGTCTCAGCTCATTTACTTTCTAGTTGTGTAATCTCTAGATTATTTAATCTGTTTTTCAGTTTCTTTGTCAAATAATACCGTCTACTTTATAAAGTTTCATTTGGAGATTAAATGTAACAACGAATTAAACAAATTAGCATGACAGTTTATGGTAAGTGCTTACAGTGGATTGTTAATTAACTAATGGCATTTTAGTTTATTGTTTTTTGGTTTATAGCTCCTCTATTTATACTAGTCATCTTCCCAGCAATGTGTGCAGTATGTGAGACTGTTATTCTTTAGGAGTAATGACCTGAAGATACATCATGATAGTAGATGCATAATAAATATCTACTGATTAGGCTTCTGTCTTGAATAGTGATGTTTATTAGATATAGCCATATAGTCACAGGCATGTATAGACAATTTCAAAAGTGATGAGGCAAATGGTAACACGAACTATCATGAGATCGTGAGCTTATGATATTGAGCTGAATTGGAGCAAAGACTTGAAGGTGTAAAAGACAACTAAACAAAGGGATAGCAATGCAAACGATCTAATGTTAAAACTGGTGTTTTTCTACTATGCAAACAGTCTTGGGGGAACATATTTCCCACTTTAGAGCATCCCTTTCCAATGATATTATTACTGTTATCTCGTGATTGGGTGATGAATGTTATTGACAAACTAATTGCTCCCTCAGAAGTATCACTGAGTCCCAAGTAGGGCTTAAGGGGATCTGAGAAGAACTTTCAAGAAAGCAGTCCAGAGAGAGTGAGTGTGTACAGGTCTTGATTGTACAAATCCTATGAGACTTGATTCTTTATAAATAGGAGAATTAAGGCTCCTTTGGCTGGAGCACATTGTGCTCTGCTGAGAAAAAGTAAATGTGAGATCTTGTTATAACAGTTGGAAAACTTGACTATATTCTCAGGTGGACTGTGTGAGTGTTCAAACTTCTACCCATGTCTCATTGTTAGCCTCTTCCCCTCACACACTAATGGGTTCACACATTGAGAATTTCCTGGTCTTTGGTGACTTCTTCCTGAAATGGACTTAAAAATCAAATTATGGAATCACAGTATATCATGGTGTCTGATCATTGGCAAAACCAGATTCTCTCTTTCTTGCCTTTGCTGACCAAGGAGATGAAAGCTCACAGGAATCTGCGCTGCTCAGAGAGACGATTCAGGTGTGGCTAGAATTAATAACACGGGGCAGACTGCAGAAGCATTTCTTCCCCAGAATGTCACTGTTTCTATATTGTCTTTACTTTTGCCCAGTTCTTGGGTAATATGTGGGTGACTCATTCTGGCTTGGTCGCTCTCTTTAGAGATGCTTTTCCATGACACTTGCCACAGCTTATGATTGGGATCCCCATGTTGAACGTGGCTCTGCAACTTGAAAGCTCCTGTATTGGAGCTGATACTAAGATCTAGTGTTAAAGGGATAGAAAACACCTGTTATGTGATCTCTAAAACTAAATGAAGTATTTATCAAGTGGGCTCTAAAGTCAAGACTGGAAACGACCAGGAGGAAATAGGACATGAAGACTTTTCCTACCATAATATAAAGCAATGATGTCAATGCATCTGGAAAGCGTGTCATTGCCGAGCAATGGGACAGGCTGTCTTAGAAAGCAGAGGCAAACAGAAGGCACAATTTCCTAATGATTGAGGGCACAGGAAATGGAATTAAACCAATCTGTCACATACTAGCTTTTCAAGCTTGAGAAATTTGCTTGATTTTTCTAAGCTTCACCTTCCTATCTATAGATAAGAACAGTAATAATAATAGTAATTTCTTTTTATAGGTATGCTTCAAAAATAAACAGCAAATTTTAAAATGCTGAGCCTGTCCTTGGAACACAGTAAGTATTCATTAAATGGTGTGAGTGTGTGCGTGTGTGTGTGTGTGTGTGTGTGTGTGTGTGTGTGTTACCATTATTATTACTAAGTGAGTAATGAGAGATCCCTGAATCTTTCAGGCATTATACCCTGCTCCTGACTTACATAACCTACCTCATTAGTGCTGTTCTTTGCCTTTCTTTACATGGATCACTGTATTTCTTACTTCATTATGGTAACATGAATTGGATGCTTTCCTTGCTGATACTGTTTCTCAATATTTCAGTCATCTTAAGTCAGCTTAGAAATGACTATAAGAACAAGAAGAACCAGAACAGCCTCTCTTATTAGAGTTAAAGATCTTCGACCTTTCAAGTCCAGAAAGATGTAATCTGAAGAGTATGTAATCTTAAATCTATTCAACAATGTTATTTAATAAAATATTTTTTTGCAAATAATTACAGGATATGCACATTAAAGGAAAGTGCTTAAAGAATTAAGTTTAAGATATATAAAATAGAGGGAACTAAGCTATGAAGATGCAAAGGCATAGGAATGATACAATGGACTTTGTGGACTTGGGGGAAAGAGTGGGAGGGGGCAAGGGGTAAAAGACTACAAATATGGTGCAGTGTATACTGCTCAGGTCATGGGTGCACCAAAATCTCACAAATCACCACTAAATAACGTACTTATGTAGCTAAATACTACCTGTACCCCAATAACTTATGGAAAAAGAGAAAAAAACCTTTCATTATAGTTCATAGTTTTGCCAGACATTTTAGCAGATACTTCATAAACTTTACTATAATACTAGGATATTTGTGTTACCGATGTTGTTATAATAAGTATGATTTCCATTTGGCAGATGATGAAACTAAGTCTATGAAAGACGTCATGTAAATTGTTTTAACAAGTATAGCTAATAAATGGAAAGGCCAGGATTCATATTAAGTTTTCTGGTTTCTAACCTAATTATTTTTCTGTTACATTGCAGAGGGCAATGAATAGTGGAAGTTTCTTATGTAAAGACATCACAAGAGTTCAAATAGTAAATATGCTCAAAAAGAATAAATCCATGGTACATAGGCTTCTAACTTAAGCTAAAGTGTTTTAAATATGCCTCTAAACTTCTCATCCTGTAGAAGACAAGAATCTGCCTTTACAAAGCATCCCTTCCATGAGTCGAATAGACTGACTCTAAAATAGGCATTTCCTTATTATCTGATTTTTTTTTACATGGATCTCTCTCTTGCCTTTCATAAGAAGGCAGGTTGTTCCTTGTTAAAAACATAGCCAAAGCACTCATCAGCAAAAAGCTTGAGAACTTGACATTGGTGTTTAGACTTTGGTGTCTTGGGTACCTTTTCAAGGTTGGATGTTTTCACAGCCATGAGGAATTTCTCGGTGGTGTCCGAATTCATCCTGCTGGGCATCCCTCACACGGAGGGTCTGGAGACTATTCTGTTGGTCCTGTTTTTGTCCTTCTACATCTTCACCCTTATGGGGAACCTGCTCATCTTGCTGGCTATTGTCTCCTCTGCTCGGCTTCACACGCCCATGTACTTCTTCCTGTGCAAGCTGTCTGTTTTTGACCTATTTTTCCCTTCTGTGAGTTCCCCTAAGATGCTGTGCTATCTTTCAGGGAACAGCCGAGCCATCTCCTATGCAGGCTGTGCATCCCAGCTCTTCTTCTACCATTTCCTGGGCTGCACTGAGTGTTTCCTGTACACGGTGATGGCCTACGACCGCTTTGTTGCCATTTGTCACCCTCTACGCTACACCATAATCATGAGCCACAGAGCATGTATCATCCTAGCCATGGGGACCTCATTCTTTGGCTGCATTCAGGCCACCTTTCTGACCACTCTCACCTTCCAATTGCCTTACTGTGTCCCCAATGAGGTGGACTATTATTTCTGTGATATCCCAGTCATGCTGAAGCTGGCTTGTGCAGATACCTCAGCCCTGGAGATGGTGGGGTTCATCAGTGTGGGCCTCATGCCCCTCAGCTGTTTCCTTCTCATCCTCACCTCCTACAGTGGCATCGTCTTCTCCATCTTGTAGATCTGCTCTGCCGAGGGCCGACGCCGTGCCTTCTCCACCTGCAGCGCCCACCTCACCGCCATCCTGCTTTTTTACATGCCAGTGGTCCTCATTTACCTGAGGCCTACCCACAGCCTGTGGTTGGATGCAACTGTTCAAATTCTGAATAACCTGGTCACCCCCATGCTGAACCCCTTAATCTACAGTCTCAGGAATAAGGAGGTGAAATTATCACTAAGGAAGGTCTTATATCAGCTGGGCTTCCTTCCTGAGCAGTTGTAGAGAGAAATAAGTAACTAGCGCTTCAACCACACTTCATAGCTTATAACCATTTTTATTTAGTTGTCACACATATTTTTGAAATTGAGGGCACAGGTATTATTATTTCCATTTTACAGTGTGGAGACTAAAACTCAAAGTAACTTGTCCAAGGACATGTAAGCTGTGAATGGCAGAATGAGGACTCTAGAGCTGGTTTTGTGACTCTGGGGCCTGTGCTCTTTTGAGGAAATCATACTGCTTGAGAGGGAGGGAGAGAGAGAGAGAGAGATTGAGAGAAACTCTTCTCAGTAGGCAGAACAGCTTGGAGCTTCTGCTTCTCAATCTGTATTTTCTTCATCCTCCTACATCCCCTCCTCCTCTTCATTTCCCTCACACCATGACATTTATTCATCTTGACTACAGTGACTATATCCTCAAATGCCTGCATTGGATAAGCCCTCATTTTTATGCATCTACAAGTTGTTAAAAATGTTATTCAGTCAAAAAGGAATGAAGAATGCCTCCTACAATGTGGATGAACTTGAAAATCTAATCCTCAGTGGAAAAAAAAGCCAGACACAATAGGTCACATATTGTGTGATTCCATTCCTGTTAAATATCCAGAGCAGGTAAATCCATTAAAACAGAGGAAATTGACCTTTTTTTTTTTTTTTAGTTTGACTGTGGGGTGATGAAAATGTTTCGGAACTAGGTAGAGGTGATGATTGCACAACTCTGTGAATGTGCTATGTACAACGTGAATGTGAATGTACAAAATTCCACTGATCTGTTCACTTTAAAATAGTTCATTTTTTGTTATGTAAATTTTACCTCAATTTAAAAAATCATTCTCTCAAAAAAAGAAAAGAAAAGAAAAACAAAAAGTGTTTTTTTGTTGTTGTTGTTGGTGGTGGTGGTGGCGGTGCATCCCAATTTATTTAAACAGCATCCTGTTATTTCTGAACCATAAGGAGGTTGTATAAAGAGAAAGGCATCTGGCTGGGACTTGAGGCAGTCTCTTATGGGTAAAGCAGAGATACTAGTGTGCTGTATCACTTCCAAACCCTGCCTGCCAGGCTTAGACCTGGAAACAGGCCCTGGGTGTGAAGAAGCAGCATGTGAATGAGATGCGAAGGTAGGTAGGGGAATCCAAACAGGGGCAACTGTACTGTGATCCCACGTTAGAAAGGCTGGCTTTGGGCAGGGCACGGTGGCTTACATCTGTAATCCTAGCACTTTGGGAGGCCAAGGTGGGTAGATCACCTGATGTCAGGAGTTCGAGACCAGCCTGGCCAACATGATGAAACCCCATCTCTACTAAAATACAAAAATTAGCTGGTCATGATGGCGGGTGCCTGTAGTCCCAGCTACTCGGGAGGCTGAGACGGGAGAATCCGTTGAACCCGGGAGACAGTGGTTGCAGTGAGCCAAGATCACGCCACTGCACTCCAGCCTGAGTGACTGAGTGAGACTCCATCTCGAAAAAAAAATAAAAGAAAGTCTTGCTCAGTACAACGAAGAGGCAATGCTGGGTCCAAGATGTCATTGTTTGGTGTCTTTGCCTTCTCTGTTGACTAAAAGGGTTCGATTTTGGACCCCCTCTTACATTTCTTTATTTTTTGACTGAAATATGCCAATAATGAGAAATGAGCTATTGTTTTCATAACTGAATTCATTGAGAATCCTATCACACTGGGGAAATATGTTGCTGTGAAGTTTGCTCTAACAGGGCTGTAAAGAGGATGATGGAAGAGGAGAGGGCAGAAGCAGAGACTAGTGCTTTTTCCCCACCTGCACTTCTTAGAATTAGAGAGCAGTAAAGAAACGGCCAGAACAAATGAGCAACACTGTATCCATGGCTCCAGCCAGTGGGTGAGCCTGCACAGCTCCTGGAAGGGAGACAAACGTTTGCCTGGTCACTACGCAAACTCCTAAAAACCTCTTTCGGTGCTGTTTCCCCCTTGTTTTCCAGTAAACAAGAGCCTAAAAGGGAAGCTAGAAATACATCTCAAATTATTTCAAATTTATTCCAAATCGCAAGCCCTTGTCAAGCCTCTTTGAGTCCACTCTGAAGATCCCTTCCCATGCCTCAGTGTACTGGTGTAGCTGCACAGTCAGTAAAAACAGACAAATTTGTAAAGATAAAAGATGAGATCTGATTCCTTTTCAAATCTTCACTCATTCAGAGTTGTTTGATGAATAACTCTGTGCAAGGGCGAGGAATGCAAAATGAAAAAGATATGACCCCAGCTGCACAGAAATCAGAGTCTGCTGGAGAAACAGACATACAGCTAACTAGAACGTCCCATCATTAAGCTATGATCAAGATGTACAATACAGCAGAAAATCTGGAGTGCATTTTCCTCATTTGAAGAAAGGACCTTACAGAAAAGGTGTTGAAGATTGAAAATGTTGTGTTGTTTTTTCCGTATTAAGAATGGCTGAGGAGTATTTTCCAGGGAGAGGCAACATACTTCTCAGTCTTTATATGTGCAGGGAGAGCAGTGAGAGATTATTTGGGCAGGTATCACTTAACTATTTGCCATTTGTGACTAAATGCCTTTGCAGGAAAAAATAAAATTTAGTGTGCCTTCTGTTTTCAGGGTTCTTCTCCAGCTCAGTTCTTTGTTCATTGGACTTGATGTCTTGAATAAAAAAACTATATCCCTATCTCCTTAAACAAGTTGACTTCTCTGCTTGTCCCAGCCGTTCTGAGAGATGCTGTTCTTAGGTCTCCAGGTAGTGTCTGAGTTCTCTTTCCACCTAAGCAGGAGCCTAGAATGCCAGCCCCAACCTGGAGGCGTGCAGGCCCAAGTTGGGTGTGAGGGTGAGCTGAGATTTTTCTGTGTTCTATAATCTAAGGGGTAGTGTGAGAAGAACTTGAGAAAAACTGTGAAAGGGAAAACCTCAAACCAGGTAGACAATCCAGAAGAATATTTAACCCACAGGGGCAAAGCAAGACAAAAAAATCAAGTGTCGAGACCAGGGAGGCCAGAGAAGAACAAGAATATTGAAGCGGAGGATCAGAGGATGTTTTGAGCAGAACAGGCTCCAGCATAGCCTTTCCTGAGACAGTGGGTTCAAGCATGGTCTAAGAGGGGCATCCAGGACCTGATGCCAAGTGGATTCTAGTTTCTTTAAAGGCTTCTTTGTTCTCCCCCAATTTTTTTTTTTGCAAGACACTCCTGTATTCTCCAGTCACTGTTCCTTTTTGCTCTTTTCTAATTTTTTTTACGAAACTGATGCCTGTTCTGAGTTTCATTTAGGTGTTTTGTTTTACATATAGTCCCAAGAGCACAAAACTATGATGGGAGCATCCAAAGTGAAAACTTATGATGTGGACACTAAAAGTGAAGCTAAGGTGATGGCCGCTGACATGGCAGGGGAGGATTGTGAAGAGGAGTTTTCAAAGGAGTGTTCACAGGTGTTGGGACCTGTTCTGTTTATTTCCTGCCCTCTCAAGTCCCCTGCTGGTTTGTTCTAAATCAAATTGATTGAAATGAATGAATAACCAGTCAGAAATCATGTTTTCGGTCACTAAATTTGCAATTACTTTTGGTCAAGGATACTGACTCCACCTTTGCAAAAATAACTAGTCAAGCTAAGAGAATAGCATTATTACATTATATGTTGTATTGGTTCACTTAGGGTAAGAGGGGCAATAATACTTGTTATTGTTGGAGTGCTACATTGGTGAGAAACAATTGAGCCTACTATATATCATTCCTTTATTTTACATTCTGTTTAAAATTATTATTTTAATTACTGTTTTGCTAATAACCTATAATAATGATACCATCAAAAAGCCATTCTTTATTGTCCTGTTGGATGTCTGTTTTTAAAAAATATTTTTATTAAATATTAAACATTTAGAAAATAATACTCATGAAAAATATGTAAAATATAAGGAACTGTGATACAATGATACAATGAACACATGCATCCCATTACCTAGTATAAAAAAAAAGAGTAATGCTAGTGCCTTGGAAGTTCTCCGTAGACCTTGGCCTGATCACACATCCTTCTTTCTCTCTAGAAGTTATCATTCTCTAGAGTTTTGTGTGTATTATTCCCTTGATGTTATTTGCATTTCACCTGCTATGTCTGTGTCCCTAAACACCTATGTTTGTAACCCTTCTTTGCAAAGCTTTGAACTTTTATTAATACAATTCAACTGAAATTGGCTTTTTTCACTTAAATATTACATATATATTTCAATTTCCTCCCCTTTTATTTTCAGTTGACACACAATAATTTTACATTTATGGGATACAGAGTGATTTTCAATATGTGTGCACAACGTGTAATGATCCAATCAGGGTAATTAGCATATCCATCACCTCAAACATTTATCATTTCTTTGTGTTGTGAACTTTCAAAATCCTCTCTTCTAGCTTTTTGAAAGCATATCGTAAATTATTGTTGACCATATTTACCCTATTGTGCTGTAGAACACTAGAACTTCTCCCTCCCATCTAGCTGTAACTTTATATCTATCAACCAACCTTTTCTTATCCTACATTTTCCCTTCCCCTTCCAAGCCTCTAATAACCACAATTTAGGATCCCTTAACACATAAAGAAACTCTCTGAAGGTAACTTCTAGAATAGGCTGAGGAGATGTGGACAGAGGTCCTAAGAAATATGGTCATAATTCATTCACATCCTAACGTAGTATCTTTCCACAATGCAAACCACATACTACTACTCTGTTTCTTTTGGATCTTCAATAATTGTTTGTTGCATATAGGTTGAATTAAAACAATTCAGTACCTTATCTGCAGAATTAATAATCAAAACAAACCTATCTCTTTAGTTTCCTCAAAGCCATAAGTTCCCCCAGCAACACCCCATCTCTCTTCTTCTTGCCATTCAGTGTTTAACATAATATGTATTAAATAGATACTGGTTTATTGAAAGAACAAATCAATGTATGAATAAAAATATGAAGTGGTATATTTAAACACTGGAGTTACAAAGATCTGTGTGTCTTATTCTTATGAAGCTCATAGCTAAGGATGGGAGGCAGATATAGAAATAATTAAAATAATATGTGATAAATATTTAATGAAAGTATATAAAATTTAGAAAAGCAAAATGAAGGCAGAAATGATTAATTCTGTGCAGATTTTAGAGAAGACCTAAAAACATTTAAAATAGATTCATTCACAGTTCTGTGACTTAATACTTTCTTTTTTTTTTTTTTTTGAGACGGAGTCTCGCTCTTTCGCCCAGGCCGGACTGCAGTGGCGCTATCTCAGCTCACTGCAACCTCCGCTTCCTGGGTTCACGCCATTCTCCTGCCTCAGCCTCCCGAGTAGCTGGGACTACAGGTGCCCACCACCGCGCCTGGCTACTTTTTTGTATTTTTAGTAGAGATGGGGTTTCACCGTGTTAGCCAGGATGGTCTCGATCTCCTGACCTCGTGATCTGCCCGCCTCGGCCTCCCAAAATGCTGGGATTACAGGCGTGAGCCACCGCACCCGGCCCTTAATACATTTTAATGTCCCCTCTTCGTATGCCCTTCCCTGATTCCTCTGCTGGACAAACTTCTACTCATCCTTCAACATCCAAGCTGACAAGTCATTTTCTTTAAAATTTTCCCATCTTAGACATATTTTTTTTTCTGTGTTTTAGTTTTATATCATGGCATAAAACATTATCTTACTACGTCAAAATAAGGTTGGCAACATGACTTTTAACAGTTAACTAGAGGCAGAGAGGTAAAGAAAATAAGACAGATGAGTAGTCACAGTTCAGAACTGTCCAAACCTTCATTTGTTGAATAAATAAATGAAAGAATGGTTTGTGGAAACATTTCATTGATGATCAGCACCTCAGTCTATACATTTATTAGATGTTATTAAATGTCTTCTAGGAACAGACTCATGCTGTACTTTGAGAATACTAATGTTTATGCTGACAGAGGTAACAGAATCCGACATACATGATTTGAATTTCATCTTAACATGTATGAACTTATGATTTTAACATGTTACTTAGCTAATTTAAATTGTTGTATTGTAATTTTGTAAAATAGTAATATTTAAACCTACTTTAATGGTGAGGATTGACTTAGTTTTTTTTTAAACACTTAATATTGTATCTTGAATATAAAAAAGATTTGATAAGTATGTTACCTTCCCGTCTTTTTTTTAAACTTTTTTAAGTAAAAAAATAAAAATAAACAGTAACAGCAAATCAGTGTTCATGGTAAAATGATTTATATTCCTTTGGGTATACACCCAGTAATGAGATTGCTGGGTCAAATGGTACTTCTGTTTTAACTCTTTGAGGAATCATCACACTGCTTTCCACAATGGTCTAACTAATTTATACTTTCACCAACAGTGTATAAGCATTACCTTTTCTCAGCAATCTTGCCAGCATCTATTATTTTTTCACATTTTAATAATAGCCATTCTGGTGTGAGATGGTGTCTCATGGTGGTTTTGATTTGCATTTCTCTAATGATCATTGATATTGAGTTGTTCTTCGTATGCTTGTTGATTACATGTATATCTTCTTCTGAAAACTGTTCATGTCCTTTGTCCACTTTTTAATGGGGTTGTTTGTTTTTTCTTGTACATTTGTTTGTTCCTTATAGATGTTGGATATTAGACCTTTGTCAGATAAATAGTTTGCAAAAAAACTTTCCCATTCTGTAGGTTGTCTGTTTACTTTGTTGGTGTGTGTGTGTATATATATATATATATATATATATATATATACACACACACACACACACACACACACACCTATATATATATACACACACATATACCTATATATACACATATATATACCTATATACACACACACATATATATACCTATATACACACACACATATATATACCTATATATATACACATATATATACCTATATATATATACACATATATATACCTATATATATAAACACACACACACACACATATATACATATATATATATATATATTGCGGTGCAGAAGCTCTTTAGTTTAATTAGATCCCATTTGTCAGTTTTTGCTTTTGTTGTGATTGCTTTTGACATCTTTATCATGAAATCTTTGCTCATGTCTGTGATCAGAATGGTATTGTCTGGGTTGTCTTTCAGGGTTTTTATAGTTTTGGGTTTCACATTTAAATTTTTAATTCATCTTGAGTTGATTTTTGTATATGGTGCAAGGAAGAGATTCAATTTCAATCTTCTGCATATGGGTAGCCAGTTATCTCAGCATCATTTATTGAAAACGGAGTCCTTTCCCCATTGCTTGTTTTTGTCACCTTTGTCAAAGATCAGATGGTTTTAGGTGTGTGGCTTTATTTCTGGGTTCTCTATTCTGTTCTATTGGTTTATGTGTCTTTTTCTGTACCAGTACCATGCTGTTTTGGTTACTGTACCCATGTAGTTTCACGTCTGGTAACATGATGCCTCCAGCTGTGTTCTTTTTGCTAAGGATTGCCTTAGCTATTCAGGCTCTTTTTTGGTTCCATATGCATTTTAAAATAGTTTTCCTCTAATTCTGTGAAGACGTCATTGGTAGTTTAGTAGGAATAGCATTGAATCTGTAAATTGCTTTGGGCAATATGGCCATTTTAATGATATTAATTCTTCCTATATATGAGCATGGAATGTTTTTCCTTTTGTTTGTGTCATCTCTGACTTCTTTGAGCAGTGTTTTGTAATTCATGTTTTAGAACTCTTTCCCCTCCCTGGTTAGCTATATTCCTAGGTATTTTATTCTTTTTGGGGCAGTTGTAAATGGAGTTGTGTTCCTGATTTGGCTCTCAGCTTGGGCGTTGTTGATGTATAGGAATGCTAATGATTTTTGTACATTGATTTTGTATCCTGAAACTTTGCTGATGTTGTTTATCAGCTGAAGGAGATTTTGGGCTGAGATTATGAGGTTTTCTAGATATACAATCATGTTGTCTGCAAACAGGGATAGTTTGACGTCTTCTCTTTCTAGTCAGATGCCCTTTATTTCTTTATCTTGCCTGATTGCTCAAGCCAGGGCTTCCAATACTATGTTAAATAGGAATGTCGAGAGAGGACATCCTTGCCTTGTGCTGATTTTCAAGGGGAATGCTTCTAGCTTTTGCCCATTCAGTATGATGTTGGCAGTGAGTTCGTCATAGATGGCTCTTATTATTTTGAGGTATGCTCCTTCTACCGTAAAGACATATGCTTGTGAATGTTCATTGCAGCACTATTCATGATAGCAAAGACATGGAATCAACCTAAATGCCTATCAGTGACAGATTGGATAAAGAAAATGTGGCACATATACACCATGTAATGTGATGCAGCCATAAAAAAAGAATGAGATCATGTCTTGTGGAGGAACATGGGTGGAACTGGAGGCCATTATTTTTAGCAAATTAACACAAGAACAAAAAACCAAGTATCACACATCATCACTTATAAGTGGGAGCTAAATGACAAGAACTCATGGACACAAAGAGGAGAACAACAGACACTGGGGCCCTTTTGAGGATGGAGGCTGACCAGAGGAGGGAGAAGATCAGAAAAAGTAACCATCTGATGTGGCAGCACTGCTCATATGGGGGCACCAGCTGTGGCGGGGTCTGTCCCTTGCAGGCCCCTGACCCAGCAACGGATGAATGAAGTACACTGACACACAGATATTCTGCTTTGCCTGTCCAGCTGAGTGTGTCCAAGCTGCTTACAGACTCCCTGCTGAGTCCTGTAAACAGTTGCGACTCGGCCTGATCAGCTAGTGAGACTCGCATTTATTCAGTAAGATTAATTAACAAAGGCTTGAGTCAACACCATTAGAGGGTATTGACATTGTGGACTTCCCTAGTAGAAAGCACGTAAGCACCCGGGATACATCAAAGTTTAGTCTTAGATCACAGAGTAGTTAGGTAAACTGCTCTGCCTTCCTTTGTTACTACTTTAATTTGTTTAGCTAAAGGTAAAGGGACCAGGTTGCCTTCAGTCAGATCTATTACCAAAGTTATGCAAACTTCTCAGCCTTCCAAGAAGATTTGTGTCTATCTCTATAACTATCTCTAATATTTTTCCCACCAGCTTGATTGAACCCCAACAATCTGGTACTAGGCTTAGTACCTGGGTGGCAAAATAATCTGTACAACAAGTCCCCATGGCAAGAGTACCTATATAACAAACCTACACATGTACCCCTGAACCTAAAATAGATAAAATAAAATAAAAAAATAAAGAAAATCAGCATTCAACTTATAAACTTTTTCTTTGGAAACAACTCTTCAAGAATACTAGTGACAGTGTTTAAGAATGTGCTAGGCTTTGCGGTCAGACAGATCTGACTTTAAGTTTCCACAAAGTCACTGATCATTTTTGTGGCCTTAGACAGGTCCTTTGAGTACAGTCTTGTCAAATGTCTTACAAGGACAATAAAAGTACTTAACTCATACGGTTATTGTGAAGATAAAATTATGTTATCCATGCAAAGAGCTTAGTGCAGAAATTAGCATGTAGTACAAAATTAATGTGTTAGCCAGTCAGGCTTCATAAAACAAACAGAACCAATAGAAAAAAAATATATAAAATAAGATGATAAGGAATTGGCTCACATGACTATGGAGGCTGAAAAGTCCCAAGACCTGCAGTTGGCAAGTGGAGGCCCAGTACAGCTGATTGTGTAAGTTCAGTCTGAATCCAAAGGCCTGAGCACCAGGAGACACAATGATGTAAGTTTTAGCCTGAGGGCAGAAGTCCCATGTTTCAGATCAATCAGTCAAAGTACCAAAGTTGTATCTTTCTTAGTGTTTTTGTTCTACTCAGGCCTTCAACTGATTGGATGAGGGTCACCCATGTTAGGGAGGGCAATCTGCTTTACTCAGTCTACTCATTCAAATGTCAATCTCATAAAAAACATCTCCACAAACACACCCAGAATAATGTTTAACCAAATATTTGGCCATTCAGTGTCCAGTCAAGTTGACACATAATATCAACCACCATAACCAGTATCGAATCTTGAATATAATTTTTTATATAAGCCTTCATTTTAATTTCAAATACTCACTTTATATGTTATTTTGTACTTATGCAATGTGTTGGGTTGAAGCAAAATTGGATGAGACTCTGTTTCCCATTATAGTTCTCAGAATTACTTTTCCTTCAAATGAAGTTACTGAAATGCTGAACCTTTGAACATGTGACCCCACAAAAGTAATAGATATTGTAATTACACAGTCTGTGTCAACCCATTGTATATTTGGCCTTTAGCTATGCTAACAAATTATAGGTAGATATAAACAGAGACTTAGTAAGAAAAAAAAAAAAGCAGCGAAAAAGACCCTGTTCTCAATTTGCCTCAAATCCTCAGGAAACATGAGAAATGACAAGTGTTACTGGTAAATACTACCGGAAATTAAGAATTTCTCAAAACAATTTAACACAACAATACAAGATTAAAGGTTACATTGGATTAAATAGGACTTAGATTAGATGAGCAAACTGATAGGTTTATTAAAATTATAACCATCAGGAAATGTTTGAAATACCAAAAAAAAAAACGTAAAATTTTGTTGTGGTAACTAAGATTTATAGAGCATTTCCCATGCTGTGAACACTATGCTTAGTCCCTTACAATCTTATCTCATCTGGGTCTTATAATAACCCTATTGTGTCCGGAATTGGTGGGCTCTTGGTCTCACTGACTTCAAGAATGAAGCCGTGGACCCTTGCGGTGAGTGTTAACAGCTCTTAAGGTGGTGCCTCTGGAGTTTGTTCCTTCTGATGTTCGGATGTGTTCGGAGTTTCTTCCTCCTGGTGGGCTCGTGGTCTTGCTGGCTTCAGGAGTGAAGCTGCAGACCTTCGCGGTGAGTGTTACAGCTCATAAAAGCAGTGTGGACCCAAAGAGTAAGCAGTAGCAAGATTTATTGCAAAGAGCAGAAGAACAAAGCTTCCACAGTGTGGAAGGGGACCCCAGCAGCTTGCCACTGCTGGCTCAGGCAGCCTGGTTTTATTCTCTTATCTGGCCCCACCCACATCCTGCTGATTGGTAGAGCCTAGTGGTCTGTTTTGACAGGGCGCTGATTGGTGCGTTTACAATCCCTGAGCTAGACACAAAGGTTCTCCACGTCCCCACTAGATTAGCTAGATACAGAGTGTCCACACAAAGGTTCTCCAAGTTCCCACGAGAGAAGCTAGATACAGAGTGTCGATTGGTGCATTCACAAACCCTGAGCCCTAGCTCTGGGTGCTGATTGGTGTGTTCACAAACCTTGAGCTAGATACGGAGTGCCGATTGCTGTATTTACAATCCCTGAGCTAGACATAAAGGTTCTCCACCTCCCCACCAGACTCAGGAGCCCAGCTGGCTTCACTCAGTGGATCCCGCACCGGGCTGCAGGTGGAGCTGCCTGCCAGTACCGCGCCGTGCGCCCGCACTCCTCAGCCCTTGGGTGGTCGATGGGACTGGGCGCCGTGGAGCAGGGGGCGGCGCTCATCGGGGAGGCTCGGGCCGCACAGGAGCCCACGGAGTGGGTGGGAGACTCAGGCATGGCGGGCTGCAGGTCCCGAGACCTGTCCCGCGGGAAGGCAGCTAAGGCCCGGCGAGAAATTGAGCACAGCAGCTGCTGGCCCAGGTGCTAAGCCCCTCACTGCCGGGGGCCGGTGGGGCCGGCCGGCAGCTCGGAGCGCGGGGTCCGCGGAGCCCACGCCACGCCCACCCGGAACTCACGCTGGTCCGCAAGCGCCGTGCGCAGCCCAGGTTCCCGCCCACGCCTCTTCCTCCATGCCTCTCCCTTCATACCTCCCCGCAAGCTGAGGGAGGCGGCTCCGGCCTTGGCCAGCCCAGAAAGGGGCTCCCACAGTGCAGCGGCGGGCTGAAGGGCTTCTTAAGTGCCGCCAAAGTGGGAGCCCAGGCAGAGGAGGCGCCGAGAGCGAGCAAGGGCTGTGAGGACTGCCAGCACGCTGTCACCTCTCACTATGAGGTAAGTACTTACTGTTATTATCTGCTTTTTACAGTTTAGAAAAATGAGACTGAGAGCTTGGGCAACTTGCTCTTAAAATCACACACATGTCCTGTAGCCGTCAGCCCTCATTTTGTCTCACTTTGAAACCCAGCTGTGCTCCAATGCCTCTCATGTACAATGTACGATGGGTACTGTTGACCAAAGCAAGTGCTTTCCATAGTCACTCCTATTAACATCGTTTGTTAAAACTCAGTAAATGGTCATTGTTTTTTCAGTTGCATAATGGAAAACTCCTGGTAGGAAACACATTTACAAAAACTTCTGTTATCGCTTACATCCAGCTATAGAATCTCTCAAAGGGAATCATCGAGAAGAATTTTTTTTTAGTTAATTAATCTCAAAGGTATTCATTTCTACGAGATGCTTTTTATGCTCATTATGATTTTGGCTATTTTGCCCTTTAATTGTTGGTTTCCATTTGTGAGCTGTGTCATGAGGTAAAGAGGATTAGTTAGCCAATGCAAGAAGGCTTGTTACAGTGTTTATGTCTTGGATTCACTCTGCAATTGTTATTCCAAGGAAAAACTAATTATGAGTGTAACACATACATGTTAATATACAGCCTCCTTTCCAGACACATGTTCATGGATAATTTCATTTACATCAGTTTTTCAGCATTTCCGAGGTGAGGCTGATTTTTTTCTAAATCACTGTATTAAAAAGCAAACAAGCAACTCCCCTGCTCCAAAAAAAAAAAAAAAAAAAAAAAAACTTCTAAAAACTAGCTTTCCTACAGCATTATTCTCTCTTGTGGGAGTTAGTGGAAAAAATGCCACTTGTCAATTGCAATGCAATTAAATAGACTTGGTTGAAATTGACAAGAAAGAACAGCGAAAATATGGATTTTAAATGTCAAAGCTCTAAGTGGCTGCATATTCTGAGTGTGGACTTTTCTCACTTCAAAGAAGCATCAGTGGAACCTGTCAATCATATTTCATTCCTGACAGCTGGCTTTGATCAGCACATGGTGAAAAGCTCAATTAAAACCCCACAGTTAAATTGAGCAGCTGGGCCAGGGTAAGCAATTTGAGACTCAGTGTGAATTTCACGAGGGACTGTTAACCATGACCGTCCTCATAGATTAAATTAGGTACTTGCTAATTTTTTCCGTCAGTACTTGCTGTGAAGATGTATTACACCGCATGACAAACCGCCTCCCCACCATTCTGAAGTCCCAAAGTTAGAGGCACTTTATGTTCTTAGTTAAGTTTCATGACATTAGGGAGTATTTAATTACCTTAAATACCTACAAAGAAACACACAACACTACATGCACACACATACATGCACACACAATATAATTAAACAAGGTAACAATTTTGATAACACACACCAATAGAATGAAATCTGTCGCTTTCAGCTAAATATAAGAAAAATCCTTTGGGGTCCACAATAACAAACCATCTCTATCAAAATAGAAGATAAATGCTAATGTCCTTATAAGTGGATGGAGGTGGATGGGACCTTAAATGTCACATAAAGTTTAAAAAAAAAAAAGTATGATGAAACAACTAGACACAGACCAAACAGCATACACAAAATAACACAGAAAAAGTGAGAACAAAGTGAGGTTCTCTGTTATCCAAGGTTACTTCAAGAAATGGATTGAAATCTAATTCAGGATTTATGTCTTCTATTGATCTTGTCTGATTTCAAATAAGGTTTTATAATTATCTTTGTATTTGTCTTATCTACTGCATACATTGCAAATTCCCCAAGAATAGGCCCAGTGTGCCCCATATGTCTTCTTCCACTAATCCTGTCTATTTCTACTGCAGTGGCTCAGCACAAGAGCCTGAGCAGAGCTGAAAGTCTATTAACTATTTTTAATATTGAGTTGGCTATCTCCTTGTAAATGATATCCTTATGTAGCCAGCCCTCAGGCCTCTGCCAGTTTCATTACTTATAGAGCTGACCCTATCCACTCAGAAGCCAATGGTGAATAGCATTAAAGAGAAACATTCAGACTAGACTTCACAAAAAAACCTTACTTACATGCACCATAATCATATCTTATTTTTATATATTATTATTAAACACAACTTTTGAACTAAAAGGGACCTCAGAGATCATTAATATAAACAGCTCTTTTAAATGAGGAAAAAATTCTACATATCTAGATGAGTGCACAGAAACGAATATACTAAATTGGGAGTTCTGCCTCTCATCAAGATATCTGAGGGATAAGTAGGTTTCCTCTTATTTTAATTAGCCGATATATTAATTTAGCAAACATTCATTGAGGATCTACAAAGACGCTTAGCTAGGAGCTATGGAAAATATGAATTAGAGGCCTTTATAAAATTAGCAATGCAACAAATTATATATTGTCAGTCATAAGAAAAATACAGTTAAAATTTGAAGTGGGTTCAAATGAGAAAGGTTAGTTTGATCTGGGTATATCGGGGTAGGCCTGAGGGAAGACATGACATTCAAATTTAGCTTTATTGGCTTCTAGAATTCGAAAATTTGGGAATAGCAGTTGGTTTTAGAGAAAAAATCCAGGAGAGGCTAAGGCATAGAAATAAGAAGAAAATGAAAAAAATGTCATTAGTTCTTATTTATTTTTTCTCTAATTAAAAAAATCAATAACATAGAATACTTATATATATAGTATTGTATTATTATATAGTATACATTATTTTTATTTTATATTATTATTATAGAATAGTATTTTTTAGTGTTTATACTTATAGTATTATATACTTATGTTTATTTGGTATAAATAATATTTACTTAGCCATGCTAAGCCATTAGCTCTATAGTCAGGACCCAAGGAAAACAAAACAGCAAGCTTGAAATTGTTAGGCTACCTTCCTGTGCTTTCCTTTCCTCTCTGCATTTGGTTTCCATGGAGACCATTCGAGAGAGGACCCAGTGAGTCAGCAACAAACAAAGCTAGTTCACTGAGCCCTGTGAAATTAGGAGTAAGCTTTAAGGTCAGTGAAATGTTGCAAGTGAAATACACTGCTCAAATAATTTTCAACGTTCATTGAATTTAACTAGGCCTATTATCTTCTGCTCGTAATTCTGCTCCAGCCATTATATTTTCAGGCCCTTGATTCACACCCAGATATATGTGATAATAGAATTGATGTCACTGTCATACCTCTTGGGGAGCCACAGCAGGTTTCAGATACACGGAGAGGATACAAAATGGGTAAACTATTGTTCATATGCTGCAAACTCAGATATACAAAAATGTAATTTCCTTTGATTTTTTTAAACTGAGCTCATTTTTATTCCAAGATTTCATTTCTGTCAAATGATAGGAAAAAATAATCTAGTTATCTTTAAGTAAACCCAGTTAATTTTGAGTTTTCTATCCTCATCTTCATCTTCACAGAGTTCTGGGACTAAGCTGTGGGACTTACATAACACCACAACATTGGTGGGGAGGAGTGTCTACTTTTCTCCTTTGATACACCTTCCTTTGCCCTCTTATGATATGTACAACATCTTGTGATGGCATTTGGTCATCTAGAGCCATCTCCACATATTCTGGGATTAACCTATTCCTGTTATGGTTGTTATACTGACATTCAACACCACTCTTCCTTGGAGAATTCTCTAACCGTAATTTGAAGACCATTTTGGATTGATAGTTTTCCTTCAAAATTTTATTTTCTTTTCTTTAAAATTTAATTATTTAGCCAGTAAAAATATTATCCTGGTAAATCAAAAAAGTCATTTTTAAAAGAAGTAAGATTACAACAAGGGTAAGAAAGATGGCTCAAACGATGGCCAAATATATTTTAAATTCTAGAATCAAGTTGCCATGTAAAACACAAGACTCACAAATATAAATATTTTATTATAAAATTTAGTATCAATGATTTGGTTTCAGAAATACAACATAATATGTTAGAGCAAATTAATGTTCTTTATTAGAATTTTATTGGTTCTATAGTTTTTTTGCATTCGTTCATTTTTGTTTCATTACCATAGAAATGTGGTAAACAAGAGTTTATATCTAGCTTTGAGTTTGAAACAACATACATGTAAGGAAATGAATAAGTCAGTATGAATTTTTTTCCTTCTGTGTGTAATTCAAATCTAAATGCCAATAGTCTATATATCCAGCATTTCACCTCTGGATGTATACCCAAGAGAACTGAAGACCTATGGCCACAAAAAAAACTTGTACACAAATTTTCATAATAATATTATTAATAGCCCAAAGTGGAACAAACTCATATGTCCATAAATGAATGATAAATATGTGGTATATTCATACAGTGAAATATTAGTGAATCACAAAAGGGAATGCAGAACTGATAAATGTCACAATGTGAACAAATCCTGATAACATTATGCTAATTTGAAGAAATCAGATACAAAAGGCCTTATATTGTATGATTCTGTCTATAGGAACTGTCCAGAAAAGACAAATCAATAGAGACAGAGTGTAGATTAGTGAATGAGTAGGGCTAAGGGTAGGAACAGGGGGCAACTTCAGATGGGCATGGAGAATCCTTTCAAAGTAACAAAAATATTCTAAAACTGGATTAAGGTATTGCTGCAAAGCTGTAAATTTACAAAACATAATTGAATTCTACACTTTAAAAGGATATGTTTCTGGTATGTGGATTATATTTCAATAATCTTGTTAAAAATTCCGATAGTTTAGGTCTCTTCAAGACATGATGCGAACCATTTTAATAGTGCTTATTAAATAAAAATAATTAAACTAGTGTCAATTCTTCACATTTGCAGAGAATTTCTATTTCAAGAAAATGCACACACAATATTTCATTTGAAATTCATAAAATACATGTGAGAGTTGGTATCATAATCTCAATTTTGTAGGTAAAGAAATTCAGTGACCCTGAGACAGTTTAAGTAAGTTGTATATTCTTATACATCAATAATTGCATGATCAAGATTTGAACCTAGAACTTATGATTCAAAATCTTATGCTATTATTTCTCTTTAAAAAACTAGATATTCTTTCCATAATTCACTTAATTCCATGGATAAACTAATGATTTTCTTTTAACTAGGACATAACCAATTGGTTCATGTACACAACATGATGAGACTTTTACTCAGGACCACTCTGGAAGATCTACCAGACACCTCAGAGAGCATTCACTTTAACTCAACTGGTCAATTTTACCTGAAAAGCAAAGAGATAGTCTTCTTTCAAAAATTTTCCTTCCTGACACTTTCGAAACTCTCAATGATTGATAGCTCCCCAAACCAATGATTGCTACATGAAAACCAGAGCATAAGATTTTGAATCATAAGTTCTGGGTTCAAATCTTGATCATGCAAGATATAATTATTTAATCTCAGCTGGAAGGGTTCCCATTCAGAGTGGATCCCCTCCTGCTGTTTTTGTCTGGCTGCTCTGTGATAAAAGACATAATGTGTGATGTGTTGTATGTGCACGTGCATTCTCGTGGCTCATTTGGTGGTGGGGCCAGGCCCTGTGAGAGGACAAAAGAATGATGCCAGAAGATATGGAGCATTATGCCCTTTTGTCTTCACAGAGAAACAAGCTCTGTTGGCAGCGATAGTTCTCTAATAGAGACTATACACTTAGCATCACCTGCACTGGGACCCTGCCTAGTTCTTATATAACTAACTGAACTAACTGGGTTACTGGGGTGGAACTGTGAACTAGAGCTGGCCTTGGTCTGACATGAGAGATAGATAGATGGATAGATGGATGGATAGATATAAATAGTTAGAGATAAATATAGATATAGATATAGATATAGATATAGATATAGATATAGATATGTAGTCTTTTTCTTTTCTAGCCATACTGGGCTAACTTCTCCTCTTTTACTTCCTCATGTCCCAACAAAACCCCATGATGCCAAGCCCCACTGAGAACTAACCTACTGAGTCCTCCTGACTCAGTAGATTAGAGCTCCCCTTTTTGCCATTCCTAAATCCCTGAAATAATGAAAAATATACATTATTCCAAAGTAAAGAAGCCAAATGTTACAGAACACACAGCATAATCTCAGTAACTACTGATTTTGACCTTTTCTAAAAACATTGTTACTCATCACAGGTATTTTGGCTTCAGTAGAAGTTTGCACAACTATTACTCTTAAATCAATGTTATTTTTTCTTCATTGGCCTGTTTGTATATTCCTTCCTTTCTACTCTTGCAGTTATCTGATAGAGGTTTAGAAAAGAATTACGTATCTGAGTGTTAAGATCCAGTCTAGGGAAGTGACAGAAGAGAAAGACTAAAAGAATGACTCAAGAAAAATGTTCTGTATGGGGGGAAAGTACAGAGAGGAACATGGGGCAATACCAGTGGTCACGCTGTCTTCCTACATTTGCTAATCAGCCCATTACAGGTTTTTATTGTTACAATCCTTTCTTTCCGTTACTTTCATCTCCAGAGGTGATGATGCCGTTGCCTTACATCTCTCCTCGAACACACTCTCTTGGATGAGCTTAATAGTGGAAAAATCTAAACCACCAGTGCCCAGTTCTTCCTAAGTTCATACTTTTATGTGAATACCATCTTATTTCTCTTGTATATGTAATTATGAAAACTCAGTACAGTTTCATTTTTCCCCACTAACACTCTGCCCTGTCATCTTCCCTGCAAGAGGGAATATTGTTTACCTCTAGGCCACATGCCATATGTATTATTTGGGAGGGCATCCAACAAGTCCTAGAGTTATGGAACTGGAAGAGATCAATGTGTCTTATTAAAATGAGACTCAGAGCATCCAAGGGTAAACACTGAAAGGAAAATCTCTAATTAGGAAGTGCTTTTTTTTTTTTTTTTTCCAAAATGACCTCAAATCTGTTCCTGTGTGTCTCACTTTCCACATACATCTCCATCGCACTTTGATTAACGTTTCTCCCATTCCACAGGTACATGCATAGGTTACTACCATCAGGTAACAATCTGACCTGGTTTAGGCAAAACTTTTTTTTCTCCAATTTCCTTTAGCGTATCTGTGAAAGGCTGGCATTTTAAAAAATGATGTTAATAAATCAATACTAAGAGAAACAAAAAGAAAATAGACTATGTAAACATAAAATCAGATCGGCTTGTGAAGTCAGACATCATCCTCTCAGCAGTGACTGCCTTCCCATGAAAGTGCCTTCTCCAGGGAGAAAAAAAATAACACCAGTTGAAGATGTAAAAGTGTATTAGGAAACTTTGGCCTAATAAGATAAGTATTCATGAATGTACTGGGAGTAGGACCAGCTGTCATTTTCTTTTTTTCACCTGGAAGTGGCAGAATAGGATAGGAGGAATTAGTTCCCAAGCATGAAGAGCAAATTGACTTCAACACAAAGAAATGCAAAAGATAGGAAAAAGATAAGTCATTCATTCATTCAACAGGAATTTATTGAGCCCACCTATGTCCCAGGCACAATCTAAATGTTATCATACCTGATGAATTGCCTTCAAGTCTGAGATGGCACCTCAAGGGAGACATCAACAAACTAGAATAGTGACATGCAAAAATAAAAAAAGAACGTGATGTTGGAGAGAGAGATGGTTGTGGGAAATTAGAATATTTAGATAAAGAGACAGCAGATAGGACTGATGATCTCAAATCTGTAAAGGGATGCTGGATGAAAAGGGGCCCACATTCATTTGGCAGATTACAAGAGCAGAACAAGGAACATTTTCTAGAAAACTCAAGGAGGAATGATTGAATGGAAGAAAATGATTAACCAGACAATGGTCGGCCTTGAAAAAGTGTCATTCCTGTTCATGGAAGTGCAGGAATGCATTCTGAGTGCTGCAGAGGATATTCTGAATTCTGCAGGGCAACATTTTCAAATCAGGGGTTTGAAAGCCTCCAGAGATCCAAAAAAATAATTCTAACCTTTCATATAGGTAGGGATAGCAATAGTGCACTCTTTTCCAATATGATTCTTAAAAACAAACACACATTAAGAAAAATATTTTAATACCTTTTCATCCATATAAAATTTTTTGAGAGCCTCTGTACGTGTGGTCTGAGTGAACACGTGCAATAAAGGATGTGGGGACATATGCTCATGTTTCAGTCACTGATTTGGTGATATGCAAAAATAACAACTGCTTATGTTAACCATTATAGTCTTAAAGTGTTTGTCTTCTCATTTATATATAATTTATACCCATTTTGGACTAGTGATTAACTAGAGGAAATATGAGGAAAAATAATGTTGAGCTCAAAATAAATAAACATGATAAGTAGACTGGCATTAATCACGTATGCTTGGCTCATGTTGCACTTAAGAAATTGTATTCATTTCATCATATTCTGGTATTTCAAAAATGTTGTTAAAATATACAGTGACAATTTTACTCCCAGTTTTATTTCATTTCTGAGGATAGACACCATATACCTGGTTATAAAAAATTGAGAAGTGCTTACAAATAGAAGCCTGAGTCTTTCCCTTTCCAACATTATTTAAATTCTTTAACTATGAAATGCTAACATTCTAAAGAATGTGTTTTGAAAACCGGTTTTGTTCATTTTCACACCCTAACAAGTCCTAAAATTTTACTCCGTATTTTAATATATATTTGGTGAACAAGCCAAACATGGCATAATTCAGCATTTAAAAAATTATGTGTTCAATAAATTGTGGTTTTCATAATTAATTTTAAATAAATTAAATGGTACGTGCTTTTTATTGGCTGGGAATAAATACGTATCTGTTTTATATGTTATTTATATTAATTTATATCATAGTATTTAAAATAAATTTAATAATATACTTTTCAATTTATTTCAGCCAGTTTTAAAAATTATTATGTAAAATATTTTTAAATATTCTGCAAATTTTAAATATATTACAAAATTGAAAGACTATTAATGAACACATGTATTCCTTATAGCTGGTATAGAAATTGAATATAATCTAGACATTCTTTCTGTGTATTTCTGTTAGTCCTATCCTCCCAGAAGTTAATAGCAATCTGAATTTTTGTTAAGGAAATTTCTTTATTTTATTTATTTACCACCTATGTATGCATTCCCAAACAATATATTATTTAGTTTTTTCTGGTTTTGAAATTTGTTTAAATATGCTCAAACATGATGCTTTTTTCCTTTTCAAACTTACTTTTGAGATTCATTCATTTTGATGCATATAGCTGTAATTTTACATCTTTATATATTTATTTGGTCTATGGTTGTCAGACATGTGGGTGATTTTTAATTACTGTTAAAAACATTCTTCTGCACGTCACTGGGTCACCACTTCAAGAGTTTCTCTAAAAAGATATATTTAGGAGTGGAATGCCAAAGAGCTTTCCAAAATGTAATGATTATAACAAATACATTCATACCCTCAGTGGATGATATTTCACAGCACTTCCATTCTTCAACACTTTATATTAACATCCTTCTTAGTATCTGCCAATCTGATGGTATGTGAATGTATATATTGCATTGTAAAATTTTGGTCCCTGATTACTGGTAAAGTTAAGCATCTTCTAATATGTTTAATGACAATTTAGGTTTCCTCCTTTGGAAAATTTATGCTATTTTTTAGTTCATTTTCTTTTGAGTATTTGGACTTTTATAAAATTGATTCATAGTAGTTCTGTATGTATTCTGGATACTAATCTTTTCTTGGTAAGATGTCCTGCAAATATCTTCCCCTAGTTTGCAGCTTCTCTTTTTATTAGCTTTAAGCCATTTTTTTGATAAAATCAATGGCTTCCTTTAAGGTGACTTACCAAAACTTTCTTTTATGATTAAAGATTATTGTGTCTTACTTAGAAATAACATATTACCTTTAATTTGCCTTTAATTTTATTTTTATTTTTTCGCTTTTAAATCTTTAATCCACCTGGAATTGGTTCTTGCTCATGACCAAGGTAAGAATTCAATTCCCTTCTACTTTTAAAAAACACAAATAGCCAATTGTCCCAGGATCACTTATTTAATAGTTTATCGTTCCCCCACTGTCCTACAATGCATCTCATATGGCCCCTGGTGACTCCCACCTTCTAGGATTCATGCTTTGTGTAATCACCTGCCCTGATTTAGTGACTTGGTTCTAGTGAATAGAATGTGGTTCTAGTGAGTAGAGTTGAAGAAGTATCATTTTGGAGATTAGATCATAAAAGGTGGTGCCTTCCATCTTGGGTTCACTGGCCCGATCTTACTGTCTCTTGACTTGGTTGCCTTGGGAGAAGTCAGCTCCCATGTTATGACACAGTTCTGTGGACAGGGCCAGGTCTGCCAGTAGCCATGTGAGTAAGCTTGGAAATAGATCCTTTCCCAGTCAAACCTTCAGAGGAGACCACAGCCCCAGCTGGTAGCTTGACTGTAACTTCATGAGAGACCCTGATCCAGAGGAATTGAGTTAAGGTGTGCTTGGATTTCTGAGTCACAGAAAGCATGAGATAATAAATGCCTCTAAGCCACAAAAGTTTGGAGTAATTGGTTATGCAGTAAGCAATAGAAACTTTTACATACGACTCTTCATATTTTCTATTTTTAGTCAGTTTTCACAAATTAATAAGCATTTGATAAATTATTTTGACAAATCATTTGAATATCTTGGCAAATGTTGTAATATCTCTTTTCATTCTGCTTAATCCATGTGCTTCTGTCATCCTTTCATTCCTCATGTTTATATGTGCCTTCTCACTTTTTTCAAGAATCATTTTTAAAGAAGTACTTCTATTTTCTTAGTCTTTTCAAAGAGCCAAATTTAGCATTGCTGACCTCTTTTCTTTTGTTTTCTCTACTTTATTATTTCAGGTTTTTACATATTTTTCAGTTCTTTGACAACTCTGTAACTGTTACGTTACATGAAAGAGGAATAATTTCCAGATTACAAATGTCTGGAATCTCAAAGGGCAAGGTTCTTGACTCCTTTCACAGAAGAGAAGGTCAAGATTAAGGAAATTTGTCTTATTCTTGGTTGTATAGGTTATTAATTAATGTTTGTTGAATAATACTTTGATATAATTCTGGGAATATCATCAGGAGAACTATTTCTGGTTCAGGAAATTCAGCTGTGCCAATTGACAAATGTTTGTTGGAGTCTAGGAAAAGAAATTCTATTTCTATATCAAAATATTAGAAACCATAGTCTGAAAAGTAGAAGAACTATGTTAGTTCACTAGGGCTGCCATAACAAAACAGAATATACTAGGTGACACAAACAACAGGAATTTTTTTTCTCGCAGTTCTGCAGATTGTAAAATTCAAGATCAAGGTTGCACAGGTTTTGCAGCAGGGTTTGGTTTCTGGGGCTTAGAGATGGGGCTGTCTTCTTGCTGTGTTCTCACATGGAGAGATAAAGGGAGAGAAAAAGACAGGCAGAGAGAGAGAGAGAAAGAGACAGAGAGAGAGATCTGATGTCTCTCCTTTTACAAAGATACCAGTTCTATTGCATCAGGGCTTCATCCTTATGGTCTCATTTAACTTTATTCACCTTCTTAAAGACCCTACTTCCAATACAGTTACGTGGATTGGGTGTGTTAAGAGTTTCAACACGAATTTTTGAAGGAACACAATTCAGTTCATGGCAAGAACTATGAAGAAACTGAGATTAAAATATTTAAAATTGGATATTTTTAAAAGTCTGAGATATATGGTTGTTAGGTTATTTCTCATTCCGATAATGTATCCTGAAACTGGGTAACTGGTTTCTACATATGTCCTAGGATTGGGCTATACCATTCACCTTTTTTCTCCTTTCCCAGGGTCAATCTTAGAGGTAGAAAATAGAGATTTGGCTCCCCCTTGTTCCTATCCAGCACTGTCACAGTGGGAAACATCACCATATTCTATTTCAACTAGACAGTTTACTCACTTCTAATTACTCCCTTTGCTCAACAACCTCCTTGAATAGGACTCATTCAGGAATGGGGTCCCAAAGGCTCCAAAGATATTTAAATTTCCACGTAGGAGAAAGCAATGTAGATATCAGTGTCTTGGAAGATGTCTGTGCAGAAGACAGAGACGCACGCTGCTGCATGTCATTTAGTCAGAGTTTATTTGGCTAAGAAGAAAGCATTCCAGATCATGGGTGGAGATCCCTAACCTCTAATATGCCAAAGGAAAATTTGGACTAAAAATCCTATACAAACAGATGATTAAATGATCATACTTTCTCTTTGTAAGTTACATAAGTGCCATCTTTGCCTCTTTCTCTCTCTTTCTTTCTCTCTCTCTTTCTCTCTCTCTTTCTCTCTCTTTCTCTTTCTTTCTCTTTTTTTCTCTTTCTTTTTTTTTCTTTCTTTCCCCTTCCTTCCTTCCCTCCCTCCCTCCCTGCCTCCTTCCCTCCTTCCCTCCTTCCCTCCCTCCCTCCCTCCCTGAGTCTCACTCTGTTGGCCAGGCTGAAGTGCAGTGGCACGATCTCAGCTCACTGCAACCTCCACCTCCCGGGTTCAAGCAATTCTCCTGCCTTAGTCTCCAGAGTAGCTGAAATTATAGGGGCCCTCACCTCTTTTTTCACTCCTCTTTTATGCTTTGTGTATCCAATGGAGAGGAAAATTTGGAGTCCTCAGTTTACAAAGTATTCTCAGAATTCAGAATGAACAGAGAGCATGGATCTACTGGCCAGAAGAATAGATCTTATTTGCTTGGTTTATCTTTGAGCCCATTGTGCTGGCCCATCAGCTCACAAACCCCATTCTTGTTATTTCACTTTACAATCAGGAATTTGGACTTGATTTTATATTATTAAAGTAACAGAAACTCTAAATGAGCCCATATGTGGATATCTTCATTTGATTCTTTCTTTGATGTATGACAGCCAGGACATTTTTGGAAGCAGTATAGATTATATGTAGCACTTGTCTTGGGTCTGATTGCTTTTTGGAATGTAGTGTAGAGCTTCTTCTGGAGTGCAGGTGACATGATTGTAAACAGAGAAATTCCAAATATACAGGAAATGGGCAAAAGAGAAACAGGTAGATGATCAAGTTGCTTTAGAAGACTGTGAGGAGAAATTACTATCTGATAGTACCACACAGATCCTTGCACAAGAGGAATGATATCCAATTCTTGCCAGGCATTGAGTGAGTTATCTTATTTCCTTCATCAAACGTTTATTGAAAAAGGCACTGTTCTTTGCACTGAGAGTATAATCGTAAACACAAAAAATATTTACTCTCCTAGATGTTATATTTGTGTGTGTGTGGGGAGGTAGCTGGATATATATTGATTTTCCATTGCTTACTAAGGAGGAGGAGGAACAACATTTTAAGAGCCTGGTGATGTCCAAATGAAAAACATGGTTAATACCGGGGTAAGATTTGACAAGGCCAGTAATGCCGTGATCTATCACAGATGGATCCATCCAGACCCGGGGGAAAGACTGATGTTTAAAAAGAAAAAAAAAGAATGTAGATGCCTAGTTCTACCAAGAACTAGCTGCCTTAATTTAGGAGAGTCACCTAGCCTTCCTACTGCTCAAATGTAATCTTTTCTGTAGACCTCCTCAAAAAGTGACTGCCAGGATTAGATGAACGGAGATCATGTTGTATAAGTGTTTTGAACTGCAAAGCAGGGATCAACCTTTATGATTCCCTTAAAAAACGTAGACATAAAATCTAACGTTGTTGCTAATAATGGCTTACAAATATGATGATTCCCGAATTGTGGTTCATATCTCCAGTGATATAAAAAAGCCCTCAAATAATCCTGACATTTCACATCCTTCTACCCCGGGAGGAGGAGCATGTGTTTGGATGGATCCTGCCCTCTCTTTAAAAATCTTTGCTCTAACAAGGTCAGAATATTGTTTTAATAATGGGCATTTGTATTTCGAATAAGTATAACAAAAATATTTGCTACAGAAATGTAGTTGGCTATGGCGGTTACATTCCAAGGATAATGCCTTGTAACTTGAATCACAAGCAGCCTTTCCATAACTTAGATGCAAATCACAGTCACTTAATTGACAAGTTTTATTTCTCCAGTATGTTCACTTGATTGACAGCAAGCCAAGGCATTCTTCCATGTCCTCAGCCTCCTCTTTCCTTCCTAGGACTGGCTTCCATGGAGGTGAAGAACTGCTGCATGGTGACAGAGTTCATCCTTTTGGGAATCCCACACACAGAGGGGCTGGAGATGACACTTTTTGTCTTATTCTTGCCCTTCTATGCCTGCACTCTACTGGGAAATGTGTCTATCCTTGTTGCTGTTATGTCTTCTGCTCGCCTTCACACACCTATGTATTTCTTCCTGGGAAACTTGTCTGTGTTTGACATGGGTTTCTCCTCAGTGACTTGTCCCAAAATGCTGCTCTACCTTATGGGGCTGAGCCGACTCATCTCCTACAAAGACTGTGTCTGCCAGCTTTTCTTCTTCCATTTCCTCGGGAGCATTGAGTGCTTCTTGTTTACGGTGATGGCCTATGACCGCTTCACTGCCATCTGTTATCCTCTGCGATACACAGTCATCATGAACCCAAGGATCTGTGTGGCCCTGGCTGTGGGCACATGGCTGTTAGGGTGCATTCATTCCAGTATCTTGACCTCCCTCACCTTCACCTTGCCATACTGTGGTCCCAATGAAGTGGATCACTTCTTCTGTGACATTCCAGCACTGTTGCCCTTGGCCTGTGCTGACACATCCTTAGCCCAGAGGGTGAGCTTCACCAACGTTGGCCTCATATCTCTTGTCTGCTTTCTGCTAATTCTTTTATCCTACACTAGAATCACAATATCTATCTTAAGCATTCGTACAACTGAGGGCCGTCGCCGTGCCTTCTCCACCTGCAGTGCTCACCTCATTGCCATCCTCTGTGCCTATGGGCCCATCATCACTGTCTACCTGCAGCCCACACCCAACCCCATGCTGGGAACCGTGGTACAAATTCTCATGAATCTGGTAGGACCAATGCTGAACCCTTTGATCTATACCTTGAGGAATAAGGAAGTAAAAACAGCCCTGAAAACAATATTGCACAGGACAGGCCATGTTCCTGAGAGTTAGTAAGAGCAGATAAATGGGTGCATGGCTCTGGAATTCCTTTTGCTTTGACCTAAGAAATTTCATTCTGGAATCTTCATATGTGACAATGACTTGGAATTTTCAGCACTGTGCTGAATGATATGGACCATTATGCTATATATAATACATTATCTTTTTGCAATATTTTATTTTATTGTCTAGGTTCTGCCTCTTCACCTATCTTCAAAGTCATATAGTCTTGTTTATTGTTACTTTGCCTTTCTTCTATAGAGAATTGCCTGTCCCTGGAAGGAAGATCTTTTCCATCCTGCCATTTTTTTTTTTTTTTGCATCACTTTTCTCAATTTACTCCCCTCATACTATTTGTGAGACAAACCTATAGGGAAAGGCAATAAAAAGAAAAGAGATTTTAAATAACTGATTGAGAGAATAATATAATTTTAAAAATATATTAACAGACTAAGGACTAGAGTCAAGATGCAGTGTTTTTTTTTCCTCCCCAAATATCTGGAAAGGGAATAACTTAGAATTTGTCAGCAAGGATGTTCATCCCATGTCTGACCCCATACCTGATTGCTCTGTCTAAACATTTTTAGGCAGATTGGGTTAGCCTCACTGCCTAAGGAAAGTAAAAAGCATTGTGTCTAGTATATTAGATTTGGGTCTGTTTCCATCTTGCTACCAGCTATTAGTGTGGCAAGTAGTGTGGTAACAATTTAGTAGCTTTATCAGGTCAGGCTAATGGCTTGGGCCAATGGCTTTCCAAACTTGATTCAAGGAGCCCCGAGACTCCAGTGAATTTATCCTGAGATTTCCATGTTAAATATACTTAGTGAGAACTTTCTGTTTAGTTATCATATGTATTAGATTTCTAGGTAAGATTCTACTGGAGAAAGTTTGAAAGCTTCTGGACTTTTTGATCTCTGGGGTACCTTGTAAGATTAAAAACTATGATGTGTATCTTTTGTTTCTACCCATAACTTTAAAGGTGTTTCTGCCTTTTCTTTAACACCTGAACCTCACCCTTACCTCTTGGATATTCATTTGAGCTTGCTAGACTTGGTAAAGCTTCAAGGATCATTTCATTACCTACCAAACAATTCTGCTCTTCCAAAAAAAATTGTAAATAAAATATTTATACTTACATTTGGCCTCATGCAACATCCTCATTTTTTGATGTGCATCAAAGTTATCTACTTTGGCTCAAAAACAGCTACACAGAAGCTTTGTGGAGCCACTGATTAGATCTGAAATCCCACAGAAGACAGAGACACTCAGCATTTTCCTGGATTCGTTGTATTAACTGCCTAGGGTACACATAATTTTACCTCTTTACACCTCTTACCAAAATACTAAGCACCGTGTTATTAAAATTCCAACTAGAAAGCTTCCCAATCCACTGTGATGTAACAAAAATAAATTCAGCTTCATATTCTCCTTTTTATCCCTTTTCAAAAACTCCTAAGCATGACACCCGAATTGCAAAGCTTCCTGCCAGAATTCTCTGTATCCTTGGAACTGTCAAGTATATAATTGTCTTAGTAGCCTCTTCACTCATTTGTGCCTTAAATTTCTGTCTTTGGTTCAGTAGTATGAAGATTATCTTTTATAGAGCCCTGATTATTTGTCAGATATTATCATAAATGCTGTGTAAAACTATCTCATTTAATCCTCAAAACAATCTTTGATATTTGTGCTATTGTTCCCATTTTACTGTGAGAGGCCCAGGATATGAATGCAAGGCTTTTACGCTTAAACACTAAGAAACTGCTTCCAAAATGCTTAAAAATCTTTCCAACTAAGAAGAGATAAGAAACCAAGAGGGAGCAGTTGACTTCATCCATGCCAGCCCAAGAAGCATCTTACATCCAAGATAAAGATATTTTCTCCCACTCTTATGAAGGAAATGGTAACCAAGGGAGTCAATGGTGGGCTTAACTCCAGAACGTAGATGGCAGAGGCCTCAAGTGGGCAAGGCATCTCACTGCAGCAGAGGCCAGGGTGAGAAACGATTAGGCATACGAAGAGGGACACAGCAACGGAGACTCAAAAAAGAAGGGCCACACAGGAATCAGAAGTGCCACATCTTCATGTCTTCTTCCAGTAAAAAACAGACAAGAGCCATAGATGAAGGCACTGGAATCTTTGTATCACTGAGGATTGCTGGAAGGAGGAGAGATGACTGAGAATACAAAAATCAGCAACAGCTTGAAAGAAAGCTCTGTCTCCAAACACCCACCATATGCCTTCTTCTGTCACCTGTGCTCCACTTCTCTCGTTAGGAAGTTTCCTGACCAATGTAAGGAGATGGCTGTTGATTTTCAGTTACTGATTTCTCACCCGATCTGGGCAATGATCCTTGATCCAGCAGCTCACAATCCTCTCTCTGAGCCCCAGTATTGATTTCATTTAGCTTGTTGAATTCGCCTTCTAAGGATTCATAGAGACATCTCAAAGGCTCTGTTATTGGCCAAGGGAAAATCTAACAAAAGATCTCAGAGCCCCTCCCTGGCCCCAAAATGGTTTCAGATGTAACTCAACATTCCAGAGGAATGGTAATAATGGGACTGCATTTTCCCTTTTCTCTGGTATATGTGTTTCTTATTAACATTATAAGACAAAGTGAACAAATAAAGACAAAATGTCACATCCGTTTTTAAAGGAATGCTGATCCACTGTTACAAAATCTATTTTCTATTACTGATTTAACTATATCTGATATTAATCACAACTTACATAACTGTTTTGATTCCATTCTCAAACGTAGAATCCTTTGAGATTTCAGTTATTTTTAAAGTTTCTTAATAATGAATCGTTAATTAGTAGCTTGCTATTACCAGAGTTAAAACACCTATCTACCATAGTTCTTCCAATATACTCTAAAGCTGTACTTCCTATACAAACCTGTTTGAGATCATTCACAGTAAGAGCAGAAAAGCTCTTGTATGTTTTCTGCTGTTCTAACTTGCTTAACAGAGACTGTGAGGTAGCAGTCTATGCTTTAATTTTTCTCTCCTCCTCCTTTCTTAATAAGAAACAACATTTTCCATGGCAGTGGACATTTTTTTTCCTCTTTTCAGTTGAGCTGTTCGCTTTAGAAGATAAATAATTAGTTTCACAAAGAAAAGCCAGGTCTAGCACCTCCAAGGATTTCTCCCATCCCTTCTGCTCCCAAACATTCTTAAAGTAAAAACAACTTTTATTTCAGGAATATTTACATCTTTAACAAAACAAACCATTTACAAGATGTGTTTATTCACTTTATTCAAGAATTTCTTCTCTGAACCCTCAGTTTGGGAGGCCCTGGGAGACCTGAGGCATGACAGTCTATGATGGGAACAATACAGCATCCAGCATTCCCTAAAGAGGATCCAGACCAGGGATCTCGCTAACATTCTCACTATGGAGAGGAGCTCAACATGCACACAGCGAGTCAACCTGAACGTTTCCATGAAGGAGGCTGCTCCATCAGGGCAGTTAGAGCACTGATTTCAAAATATATTTTCATGCCTGAAATTCTGCCATTTAAGAATGAATTTCCTCTCAAATCCCACATTCTGTTTTCAAAAGCAAATTTCCTGGGAAGTAATAGAAATGAGATACTATCTAGCTCGAGAAAGATATTTATGATTGGCAGGAGAAGTAAGAAGGCAGACGAGCAAGTGTATATGTATATCTATATCTGTCTGTCTGTCTGTCTATCTATCTATCTATCTAAACGTTTTTCTCTACGTCGATTTGGCCAAAGATCGGCACAGATATCCTCAAATCTCTTTCCCATAGACATGCTAGAGAAGTAATTCAGTCGGTATTTATTAAATTCCTGTTTTGCAGCAGATACTATTGTTATGCTAAATTGATAAAGATGGGTAAGATCCCTGCCCTGAAGGAGTCCACCATCTGTTTTTAGAATCATACAGAATAGATGGTCCATAATAAACTGTGATAATAACAGCAGGACACACTTTCTTAGGGCTTACCGCGTGCTAGGTATTACTCTCAAGCGCTTTACTTTACCTACATTAACTCATGCGGTCCTCACCATAATCCTATTATCTCATTTTATACAGGAGAAAACTGAGACACACAGAAGTTAAGAAATGTTTCCAGCTAGTAAGTCACAAAGCTAGGATGTCTTGCAGGCTGTCTCTCACAGAGCAGGAACACCGTCATCTTGGACAAACACCACCATTTTAAGTTCCAGCTCCCTTTCTAACCTCATGTATTTCAAGGAAATCACTTCTCTTCTAACAACAAGCAGCCAGAAAGAGCAGACAGTAAAACACAGATAAGACAGCTTGGGCACAGAGGGAGGGGGGAAAGTCTCTTGGGTAACCACCAAATTTACACTCATACAATGGGCCCCAGTAAAACAGTGGGCCCTAATAAGCACATTCCTTTCTCTTTAGGTGCACTAAGATAGGGAAGCTAAAAGCAGACTCTGGGGGGTAAGCCTGCAGCTGCAGGAAGATGTACAGGAACAGACACAAAAACTCTCCCTCCCAGATAAGCAAGACAAAGAGACATAGAAACATTCTGAGCCTGTGATAAGCTCTCTGCCCTAAACCCTTAAATACTCTTAGTCTGTAAGAGAGAGTGCTCCTGACCTAACTTGGCCAGAAACCCCTCTCAAGTTTATTCTCCATCATAAATCTGTCTTTGACTATTGAGCTGCTTTTAGTGTTTCCTTCTTCCTTCTCCAATTCTCACAGTCTCCAGTGATCTTTCTTTTAATAATTTCATTACATCAGCATCATAAATTCTGAGAAGCAATGAGAGCATGGAGAAGTGACCAATTATTTCTGCCTAGGCTGTTTGGGAAGGCTTTGCAGGAAAGGTGGGATGTGAGCCAGGCTATGAGGGATGCATGGAGGGGAGTGTGAATAAACATCAGACAGAGGGTTAGAAAGTGCGGAATCAGAAAGCAGGGGACATCTTGTGGAAGCATGGGTATGTACCAAGCACACTATTTCCAGGGAGAACGATATTGTTATAATAAAAGATGATTGGAGGCGGAAGTGAAAGACAGGAGAAAGCAGGAAGAGAGAAGGAGATGGTAGAATGGAGCCTAATCATGAACGAGTTTCTTATCATGAAGTGCCCTTTGTAGAAAAGGCCATATATTCAGATTTGCCAGGATAGTTTATACATGATTTTTAATAGTGTTAACACTCTAAAAAGTGTTCTGATGTGTAAAATAAATTATGTGGACACTTTACTTCTCTATGAATCAAAGGAGAACTTGGCAATGAAGATTCAATAAAAGTGTGGAGGCTGGTTATGACTTAGCTCAGCCAAGAGCATTTGCAAGTCCAGCCAGTGCCAAGAATAGAGTGGGCAGAGCACTCCACCAACAGAATGGAGAGGAATCTGCTCTCTTCTACCCCTGTGGGAAGTACCTAACACTTAACACCCACTGACCTCTGCACCATCAGATGTAGGTTGTACCAACTCAGCCATTTACCACCAAGGACTCTTTCTCCTGCATTATTGGAGCGCATGCAGCAACCTCATGGCAGGACTAAGACTGGATCAGAACTCTAGTTTCTCTGCCCTACATTATGTGAATTATACCACTTAAACTTTTTGCAAATGTGAGTGAATCATGTTATATTTTGTTACATACTACTTGTTATATGTTTAAGATCATACATAACATGGGCTCTTAATTTTCCAAACTTAAATGAATCATGCTAAGCCCCTGTGCATGCTAACCTACTTATGTATTAGTGATAGTAGACACTGAAGCATAAGCCACAGGAAAATCGAGCATCTCTTTTAAAACACATTCCCAACTCATGATAATCCCCACAGAGGATCAGATAAAGAGATGCTCAGTTTTATCAAGTGGAAAGTCTCATAGTCAGCAAGATATGGTTGACACTTATGCTCATAAGACACATGACCAGGAGGGTACTGAAAATCTCAAAGTCATCTGCTCACAGATCCAATGATCATTATCACAGAGCTTCTTTAAACTACCAAACCTCTCCCATCAGTGGTCTGAATCCTCAGATCTACTGGTTTATTTCCCAGTCCACTCTGTCAAAATTGTTCTTTCTAGCATCCTCCAAATAAATAAACACGAAGGCTCTTTCCTCCTAGATTCCATGACACCACCCAGTGATGGCTGCTCTCCACCTCTTTCATCAGATCTGTTCTGTAGCTTTGCTTACTTCTGTGGGAAGTTTGCTGCATACTTCAGGACTTGATCCTTCCCCCAAAACTTCATCTAATGAAATTATTCACTTCATGATTCTTAGTTGTGACCCATACACTGTTCATTTCTCCTTGAGCTCATGGGCAGGGTCTCCGGATAAATCTTAGATATTATGAAGAAAAATACCTGGATCTAAGTCTGCTTTGTTATGGGGAAAATTATGAGAGTAATTCTACTTATCTCATGGAACCGTTGTGAAAATTACATAAGAAAGTATATCATCAATCAACAAGTGAATAAAGAAAAGGTTATATATATATATATACACACACATATACACACACACACACACACACCGTGAAATGGTGTATATACAGTATACACTATTGTATATATACAATGGAATATACTACTATATTATATATTATATATATTTTATATATTATAATTATTATATATAATATATATAATATATATAACATATATATATCATGAAATACTACTCAGCCCCATAAAAATAAATGAAATAATGGCATTCGCAGTAACCTGGATGGAATTGGAGACTATTATTCTAAGTGAAGTGACTCAAGAATGGAAAATCAAACATCACATGTTCTCATTCATATGTGGGAGCTAAGCTATCAGGATGCAAAGGCATAAGAACAATGAATTGGACTTTGGGGACTCAGGGTAGGGGGTGGTGAGGGATAAAAGACTACACACTGGATACAGTGTACACTGCTCGGGTGATGGGTGCACCCGTCATCACCCATCAGCACTCTCAGAAATCACCACTAAAGAACTTACTCATGTAACCAAACACCACCTGTTCTCCAAAAACCTATTGAAATAAAAAAGCTAAAAATTTTAAAAAGAAAGCAAATAAATGCAAGATTGTGAGATGTCTTATCATTTTAAAAAATAATGAAGTAAAAGGCAATACAACTATTCAAACAATTATGTAAATAAATTCTGTTTTGCATTTTAAAGAGAGAGAGAGAAAGAGGGAAATAGAGTTTCTCAAAGGAGGAAGTCTTTATACGTAACAGATTCACTGAGGTTAAGCTCTCTTTTGAGTATAGCTCAAGAGTGGAAGGGCCTGACTAGTTAGGTTTTGTTTTGGTCCCGCCACCTTAAATAATTAATCCCGGGTGAGAGTAGTCAACCCTGTTCCTCAATAGGGCATTTCAATACCTTTTTCTTTTAAATTTTAAACCACAGTCATCTAGTTACAAATATTTCTGAAAAAAACTAACCTAATTGCTTATATTTCTCAATCATGATTTCATTTCTGTAATTTCACTTTGTTTTTTTAACTGCTGCCAGTTTTGCCATATAAAACATTGACAAAATCATTTTGCTCTCTTGCTAAAAATTTCTTTGGTATGTTTCCATTTCCTATTGATGTCAAGGCTGACTATATTGAGTTTAACATTTGAAGCTTTTTAACATCTGGTTCTGATCTCTGTCACCAATTTTATTCCTATTTCTCTTTTATTTTTGACTTCTCCACAAGCCAACTCAAACTCCTTTGTAATTTTCCAAACCAACGCTGACAACATGGTCTGGATTCTCCAGTTCAGTCCTAAATTAAGCTATTCTGTTGCCGTGTTAGGCCATGTTTCTCACATTGTGCTCTATCGTGGATCCTGAATTTTGGTGTATTTCTCACATATTCCCTGCTTTTGATGACTCTGAGTCCTAGTCTTCATGTGGCCTCTGTTTGGGATGTCAGTTTCGTTGTTCTCCATAGGACCAAATTATGCTCATTTTTCAGGACACCATCCAAACATTGTTTTCTTGCCAAAGCTTTCCTTAATGCTCCAAGCTAAAAGAAATGTTTCTCCTTTGAAATCTCATTTTCTTTGGAAGTACATATACTCTTGACAAATACCACCCATCTGAGAAAAAACAGTATGAGTGAAGTGAAATAGGATGACCATAGTTTTTAACTAAACAGAATACAAAGATCTAGAAATTTATATGAAATAGTAAGACCAGAGTCAACCTTACAGTAGTAGATCTGATGTTCAGTTTCAGCAAGTTTGTAATGAGAGTTTGAAGTACACTCACAAACTCTGATAAGTAGTTACATTTATGATGACATGAAAACTCAAGACATTTATTGCTAACTGATCCATAGTGGTTGTGACAATTGGGGAACAAAGGTCACCCCTAAGACAATATATACTCAATATGTCTCAACTGTATGCTTCATTTTAGAGAACAGCAATCTTTGATAATTTTTCATATAGTTCTAGTTATAGCTGTGCATTTAGATAAAGGGAAGTAGTAAACATACAGGGTATGTTAGATTTTAGAATTGTATATTGTAAATTCGTAATGAATCTGAGAATATGAATTTGCCACTCCTGGTCATAAGAATGTTTTCTTGTTTTGATTCTTAGCAACCTAGGAGCTGAAAAACTTGGAATTTCCCTTTGACGGATATGCCAGTAATAGGATTTAATCCCCTCCCTCTTTAGAGTCTCATGTTCCTGTAATATGAGAAAAGGGGTGACTGCATTGGGCTCCGTGCCTCTGGGCAAGCTCTCTATCACAACATGGGAATGTTAAGCGCATAACCTACCAAACTGAAAGCAAGTCACTGGGCACAGTCTCCATTGCAAGTCCCGGAGGGTGGAAGGGAGGTCTGATCAAGAATGAGAAACTTGCTTTTGTCCTCTCCTTGCCTTTTTGGCTGTGATCCAAAAGAAGGACATGCAGGCTCTCCTAGAATCTTCAAATCATCCCTAGTTCTTCTGATCTTTTCCCCGGTCTCTGTCCCTGCACTAATATGACAGCCATGGTCCCTATCTCCTATTTAGTCTATATTAGCTCTACAGATAGGATTCTGGCAGCATGTTAGTTATGTGATGCAGTCTAAGAAGTCAGTAGCTGGACAACAAATTGTGCCAGCCTGGAGGCCACATGATAATCCGTATTCTGCAAACTGTGCTCTATCGCCCCCTGATGGACATAGGATCATCTCCAACCTTAGCACAGAACGACCAGTTCTCCTTGGCTTTAGGGGTAATCATGATGTGTGCTTTTGGAAGGGCAGGGACAGAAGAGGAAATTTGTTTTACAAGTTCATTGGTAATTTGGAAGAAATGACAACCTCTGCATAGATATTTACACGCAGAGTAGATCTGATCATGTTAATTCCCATGCATTAAAATATTTTATGTCTCCTTACTAACTTTAGAGTAAAATCTACTCTAATATGATATACAATGATTTTTATAATCTGTCTGTATCTCAGTGCCCAGTCTCATGGCCTTGTCCATTTTTCCCATCAGGCCTTACACTCTAAACTCACCAAATTATTTGTCATTTTTCCAAAACTAACTATATCAAACTTTGGTATATTTGGATAGGCTGTTTCCACTCTCTGGGATGCAATTCATTGTTTTCAAAATCTGTCAAAATTCTCCTGCAAAAAGTCTGACTTGATACTGGTGAGAAGACATAGGCTATGCTTCCTCTGTATTCTAATTTTAGATGATAAATACCGTAATATTTCACCTTACATTACATTGCACTTTCCAGGCTGTGTTTCTAATTTCTACGTATGTTATACTTCACATATGCTGAAGGGACTCAATTAAAAGAAGATAAACTATACATACATTATCAAATAATGGAGAAGATATAATTTATATTTCAAAATATAAAATATATTCCAAAATATAAAATTTTTCGAACAATAGTATACAAAATTACATGTAGGTTTAAAATTGAATCGAACATGTAGAAACATATCAACATGATCATTTCAAACATGTAATGAAATAAGTTACAATTAATGCAAAGAAAATTGAACTAATAAATATAGATCCTTAATGTGACTATTAATTTTGAAAAATATAGTATACAATGTGACATGATGATACCATTTTATATCTACTGAATAAGCAAACTAATATTAAATAGTAAATAATCAAACTATATATTAACAAAGCTACAGAAGCCCCACAACATTTTTACACTACTGGTAGCATTTATTGATTTATGTGTTCATTCCAGGAGTATTTATTATCTATTCTATGTTTTGTATAGTGACAGGAGTTGAATTTACAAGTCCAACAAGGCATTTACCCTACCCCTGAAGGTGATGATTGCAACAATATATGAACACGCAGGATTTTATGACAGCACTTAAGAGGAATACCTGTCTCAAAATGGGGAGAGATATGAGAAAAAAACATGCAATAAGGGAATAAATATTAAATTTTATAACAGATAATAAAAGTCAGCTCTGCAAAAAAAAAAAAGTCATGGAGGAAGAAAAAGAGCAGGATTTGTGAAAGTACAAAGGAATAAAGCAGCATGGTTCATTCAGAAGTTTAAAACACATTGGTAACATCCTTCAGAAAAGGAACTTTTAAATACAAATAAGATAAATTGATATGTTTATATACTTTGGCCCTAGGAGTCTAATATTGAGAAATTATTCTAAAGGAAAAATATATGTAATGCCAATTCATTTCAAATGGCAAGAACAATGGCATTTAAATATTCAGATATGGATAACATTAGGCAAAATATAATGTGTTGACTTAATAAAACATATGGTCATTATTATTGGCTATCAAAATTATTTTAGCAGCATGGAAAAAGGATTATAGAATAATTTAAGTTAAAAGAACAAAATAGTACATTTCTCTTACTAGGTCTTAAAGATAGTCTCTTGTATTCTTTTCTAGAAGCTTTATAGCTTAATTTTCTCTGTATCTATGACCCATCTCAAATTAATTTTTGTTTGTGGTCTGGAGTAAAGATTGATGTTCATTTTGTCCCCATGTGAATATTCAGTTGTTTCAGCATAATTTGTTTAAGAGACATCTTTTCCTACTGAGCTGCTATGAGGTTTCAGTCGAAGAATGATGGGTGGGGCTACTTTGGACTTTCTCTTCTATTTCTTTGATCTGTCTATTCTTATGTCAATTTCACATTGCATTGATTATGGCAACTTTACAGATAATCTTTTTTTCCTTTGTCGGTTTAAAAACATTTTATTTTATAGGCATACAATTTTAATTGCCTATATTTCAGGTGTATAACATCATGTTTTGTTATCCTTGTACGTAAACACAGTGAAATGATGACTACAGTGAAGCAAATCAACATTTCTTCACATTTACTTTTGTTTGTGTAAAAGGACCTGAAATCTACCATCTTGGCAAATTTACAGGATAAAATATGTGATATGCACATTAGTCTTATTTATCCTACATAACTGCAACTTTGTACCCTTTGACCTACATCTCCTCATCTTCCCCCAACCTGGTCCTGCCCCTAGTAACAACCTTTCTACTCTGTTTCTGTGTATTCAGTTTTTTAGATTCTACATATGTGAGATCATGAAATGTTTTTATTTCTGTACCTGTTTTATTTCTGTTTTTTCACCAGCTTTATTGCGGTATGATTGACAAATAAAAATTGCATATATTTAGGTTATACAATGTGATGTTTTTATATACACATACATTGTGAAATGATTACCAAACTCAAGATAATTAACATATTCATCACCTCACATAGTTAGATTTTTTTGTATATAGTGAGAACACTTGAAATCTGCTTTCTTGGCAAATTTAAGATATAAAATGCGTTATTATTAGCTATAGTCATGATGCTGTACTTTAGATCTCTATTACTTGTTTGTCTTATAACTGAAGGTTTGTACCCTTTGGCCAATATCTTCCCCTTTCCCTGACCCATGTCCCTGGCAACCACCATTCTACTCTGTTACCATGAGTTCAACTTTTATTTTTTTAGATTCCACATATCAGGGAGATTATGCAGTATTTGTCTTTCTGTTTGGCTGATTTCACTTAGCATAGTGTACTCCAGGTTCACCCATGTTGCTGTAAATGGAGGGAACTCCATCTGTCAATGAACACTTAGGTTGTTTCTGTATCTTGGCTACTGTGAATAATTCTGCAATGAACCTGGGAATGCAGATACTTCTACGAGCTATAGTAATCTGCCCTGATCCTCGGGGAATACATTCCAAGACCCTCAGTGGGTACCTAAAACAGATACAGACAGGAGGCAGGGAATACTGGGTTGAAAGGGTGGAGTCTCTGGCGAGGGTTCCACCCTTAAGCCTGGACTCATGGCCCTAAATGAGAACTTCACATCCCAATTTTCCCGCCGGAATGTTGCTTTTTCCAAAACCACCCTGTCCTGCTCTGCCCCACACCCTGTACCCATAAAAATCCCAAGCTCCTCTAGCAGAGAAGCACAGCATAGTGGCAGAGAAGGAGAGAAGAGAAGAAGCAGCTGGACTTTGGAGAAAAGCAGCTTGACTTTGGAGGGAAGGCTTGATGGTGGGACTTCAGAGAAGAGATTGACTGTCCCCAGGCGGGACTCCAGGGGAAGATTATCTTCCCACTCCATCCCCCTTCCAGCTCCCCTTCCCTCTGAGAGCCACCTTCACTACTCTATAAAATTTTCCACATACACCACCCTTCAATTCATTCATGTGACCTGATTCTTCCTGGATGCTGGACAAGAACTCAGGTACCAAGAGGGCAGGGTGTAAAAGGCTGTCACCCTGACCCTCCACTGAGCTGGTTAGCACTTAGCCATCTGTGAATGACAAATACTAAAAGCACTGATTGTAACACATGCCCTCTAGGGATCTGGGGTTTGTTGACACCCCCTCCCAGACAGCAGAGCTAAAAGAGCATTGTAACACGCTTGGACGCTGCCACAGGGCCCACACACAGCCTGCTTCTGCCAGAGAGGAGTGACCAGCCTATTCCGGCATTCATTCACTTCAGTTCCTGCACCCATTGGCTTGTGTGCTCCCTCCGGTAAGGGATTGATGGTGGCAGTTGAGCAAACGAGTCACCGCTTCATGAGTCGCATGAAGGGGTCAAGGGAAATACCCAATCTCAAAACCATGAATAGTACCAAACCCTATATATTTTATGTTTTTTTCCTCTACACACATATCTATGATAAAAGTTAATTTCAAAATTAGGAATAGCAAGAAATTAACAGCTAATAATAAAATAGGACAATTATACACTATAATAAAAGTTACGTGAAGGTGGTCTCTCTTTTTCTCAAAACAAAAATGTCTGTCCTCACCCAGGTCCATGGGCACAGGCCCAGGAGTAGAGCCCTAGCCAGGGACCACCCCCTTCCCCTTCCCATCCCACGTCCCTTCCCCGTTCCATATCATTTAAAGGGATCATGCCCTTTCCTTCCCAGCACTTTCCTTCCATATAAGTACGAATAAGGACTCTGAAAAGTATTAGATTTGTTCATTGAAATATACACAATATGAACAGGGGAGAATCCTTGGTATAAAATTAAATTATTTTTTATTTCATTTTCACCTCTCTACTTAGAGGAATTATATAATCTTCAGTCAAATAATTTCTATTAAGCAACTAAAATGAGATTTGTGTTGAAAAGATACAGGAATTTGTAAGTCATGGTCCATGTCCTTATGGAGGTCAATTACAAGACTACACTAAAACCTTTTAGAAAAGAGTAAACAATGCAACACAGTGTGCAAGTGAGTCAGAATTTGAATGACGTCATGCAAGCATCCATTATGTGCTTTAGAAATCAGGGATGGCTATGTGGAGGAGGTTACTATCAATGGCAAATAGAAATGGTACTTCTAAATAGGTGGAGTAGAATGATTATAAGCAGGATATGGAATGGAGCAGTGTGTTTGAGGGACATTGAGACTGTTCTGAGGAGAATATTTTTCCTGAATAAGAGTAAGAGATGAAGTTGGTGACATTAGGTAGGTAAGACTTTGATTTGGATGAGATTACATTATATTTTGAAAGCCATGTGGAATAAGTTAGGTATGAAACTTACTCTTTTTCTGTTTTTAGCTTTATTGAGGTATAATTGATATACAAAAACTGCACGTTATCCATACAATTTGAATAAGTTAGGACATGTGTACACATATGATTCCATCACCATAATCAAGGTAATAAACGTAACAATCACCTCCAAAAGTTTCCTTTGTCTTTGTTTTGGGGCGCGTGCAAGCACACACGCACGTGTGTGCATGTAAAAAACATGTAACCACAGATCTATCAGAGATCTTGTTTTCCTGCCAAAATGTTGCATTTCCCAAGATCACCCTGGCCTGCCAACCCCCCATACTGTGCCTATAAAAATCCCCAAGACCTGGCCTGGGCGCAGTGGCTCATGCCTTAATCCCAGCTCTTCGGGAGGCCAAGGCTGGTGGATTAGGAGGTCAGGAGATCGAGACCATTCTGGCCAACATGGTGAAACCCCATCTCTACTAAAATACAAAAAATTAGCCGGGCGAGGTGGCGGGCGCCTGTAGTCCCAGCTACTGGGGAGGCTGAGGCAGGGGAATCGCTTAAACTGGGGAGGTGGAGACTGCAGTGAATAGAGATTCTGCCACTGCACTCCAGCCTGGCGACAGAGTGAAACTCCGTCTAGAAAAAAAAAAAAAATCACTAAGACCGTACCAGGCAGACACACAGGCGGCTGGACGTCGAGAGGCGCACACCGACAGGCACCAGCATGCCAGCAGGCCACCGACCGGCAGAAGCAGAACGACACAGTTTGGCGGGGGCAGTTGGAGGAAAGCCCAGGCCACTGAGCGGCCTGACTCCAGGGGAAGACCTTCCCACTCCATCCCCTTCTGGCTCCCCCATCTGCTGAGAGCTACTTCCACTCAATAAAACCTTGCACTCATTCTCCAAGCCCAGGTGTGATCAGATTCTTCGAGTACATCAAGGCAAGAACCTGGGATACAGAAATCCCTCTGCCCTTAAGACAAGGTAGAGGGTCTAATTGAGCTGGTTAACACAAGCCGCCTATAGACGGCAAAACGAAAAGAACGCCCTGTAACGCGCCCACTGGGGCTTCAGGAGCTGTAAACATTCACCCCTAGACACTGCCGTGGGTTGGAGCCCCACAGCCTGCCTGTCTGTATGCTCCCCTAGAGGTTTGAGCAGCGGGGCACTGAAGAAGCAAGCCACATCCCATCGCACGCCCTTCGAGGGGGACAAGGGAACTTTTCTCGTTTCTCTACCGTCACGTTGATTTTTTTCTAAATTTTTTTACATATATAGGAAACAAATGTCTTGGATTACAATTAGTAAGGTGATTCTAATAAAATAGTGGCCACAGAAAAAGCATGAGAGTCATTCTGTAAGTAAAAAACTTCTATTAGCCTCATCCCCCAAGATGAGGTTATTGATTTGTTAGCTCCCTATCATGCTTGAGGGCCTAGAAAGTAGTAGTGACTTTTAGACACTGTTCAGATGCAAAAAATTGAAATCAAGAGATGGAAGCCATGAAACTGTAGTGCAATTAAAAGAAAAATTAGAGTCTGAAACATGAGGAGATCTAAAAGATGTGAAGGCAAACAAAATGCACAAAATTTTCTAGGGTTTTTTTTTGTTGTTGTTGGGGGCGGAGAAAGAAGTTTTTGTATTAAATTAACTTCTCATTTTAGAATAATTTTAAATGTATAGAAAAGTTGCAAAAATATTATAGAGATTTCCCATATACCTTGCACCCAATTTTTCCTTGTACCCAGTTTAAATGTTTCAAGTTAATATTACAATGGAATATTTGTCACAACCAATGAACCAATGTTGAAACCTTATTATTAGCTAAAGTTCATATTTTATTTTTATTGTCTTAGTTTTAACCTCTTTTGTTCTTGGTTTTCCTGGCTAGAGATTTATCAATTTTATTCACCTTTAAAAATAAGTAATTTTGATTTTGTTGGGTTTTATTGTTTTCCTATTTTCAGTTTTTAAAATTCTGCTCTAAATTGTTATTATTTTTCTATGCTTTTAAAAAATATTTACTTGTCTCTTGCTTCTGTGGATTCTAAGGTATAAGCATAGTTTATTAATTTTAGATCTTTCTTATCTAATTTATTTTTTAATCTTCTAAATTTCCCTTTAAGCACTACTACATTCCACAAATTTTTGTAAGTTGTATTTTAGTTTTCATTTAGTTTAAAATATGTTTTTGTTTGTCTTAAAACTTCTTTAACCTATAAATTATGTAGATGCATGTTGTTTATTTTCCAAGAATTTGGGAAATTTTCATTTTCTTTTATTGATTTCTAGTTGTTGTGGTCTGCTAAGTGAAATAAACCCATCACAGCAGGACAAATGCTGCATATCTCCATTTATATGAGGTATCTATAATAGTCAAACTCATAGAAGCAGAGAATCCAATAACGGTTTCCAGGAGCTAAGAGGAGGGAGAAACAGGGAGTTGTTCACTGAGTATAAATTTTCAGTTATGCTAGATGAATATGTTCTAAAGATCTGCCATACAACATAGTGTGTATAGTTAACACAATGGACTTCAAAATTTGTTAACAGGGTACATCTCATCTTAAGTATTCTTACTACAAAAACAAACAACATAAATGGACACAAGAAAACTTGGGGAAGTAATGAATATGTCAGTTACCTCGATTGTGGTGATGGCATCAAGGATGTTTACATATGTCCAAACTCATCGAATTATACACATTTAAATATGTGGTTATGTATCAATTCTACTTCAGTAAAATGGTTTAAAAACAAAAATATCCTTTCTTCCCCTTAAACTGTTTTGGTATTTTGCTTCATCTCTAAGATGGCTCAGATACAGATAGGCTAAGGCTACTGATGCAGACCAGGTTGTTTGGAAGTTCTCCACAAGTAATGATCATGGACATTCAAACACAGAGGTGTTGTTAACAGGGCAGAACAGGAAGCAGTAGGCATTAAGAGCACGTATCAGAGTCAGACTTCAGTGGAAACTGTTCACATGCAATCAATCAGAGCCCCACAGCTGCTGTCCTGCTGTCAAAGTTACAAAGATTGGACACGAGGTCATGGAGCTTCTATGATGGTGTCTAGTAGTTGGTTGAACAGACTTGTGAGAGTCAAGGAACACAGAAAAAAATAGTCAACTGGCCAACGTAAAGAGTCAGAAATATGGAAGGATATGGAAACTGAGCTCTCTTAATACAGGTAAAATTGGGAGATATATTAAAATAAATAACTGGGATTTTATAAAAGATAACTGGGAAACGATCATTTCTGGGTTTGCAAAATCAGCAATAGTTTGGGTTGTTCAGGAGTTGACAAATTTGTACTCTAGATTTCCATAAACTTTTCTAATGAAGTATAGAATTGACTCAGAGTTGGGGATGATTGGCCTTTGCAGGAGATGGCAAACTGGGGAGTCAGAAGAAAGGAGGTGTCAGGTAGCAAATCACTGGCTGCCTCACTTAAACCTGCTGGGTATTTTCCGACAATCTCCAACTATACTGTCATTTCAGTCCTCCTTAACTATGTCTACTTTTTAAATTTATTTTTTTTCTCTGATAAGACACACAAGAAACATTTTAAACATCTTAACATTTTAAAGTATATGTCTGCTCAAGGCCCTCCATATAGTACCTGGGTATCACTGCTGGTTACTCAGGGCCCAAGGGCTCTTCAGTTAGCAGGTGATGAATGCTGCCAGGACTGGGTCCTTTCCTTTAATGCAATGGGTTTCCTTCTGGCCCAGTGTGTGTCTAGAAATGTTGTCTGGGAGCTATGGCCTAGAACAGAGGCTTCCCCTCTCTGACGGGTGCCCTCTCTTGCTATGGCTGAGGTGACATCCAAGATGCAAGACAGAGTCCTCCCCACTCTTCCATTTCCTCTCCTCAGGTGGAAGGAAGGGGTCTCTTTTGGAGCCATTAGCTGTGCAACCTGAGGTTAGGGGAGGGGTGATGCCAGCACTCTCTTGGCTGCCCTGGCTGGTGTCTCAGTATGTCATGCGTCCCCCTGTTCCACTGTCTCTGGGCCTAGTTTAGCACTGGGTGTTGCCTAAGAGTTGTAGTTCTTATAGCCTTCAAGTGTGCCTGGAGACACAGAGCGCTGTAGCCTGCAGTGGTAAGGTTTGCTGGAGCTCAAGTTCCGACTGCTGGGATCGGAGGTTCCCCTCTGGCTAGGGCTGGTTTAAATGCTCCCTCTGTGGGCAGACATCAGCTGAGTTTGGTCCGTCTTTCCTTTCTGCTCTAACAGGACAGCACTGAGTTCAATGCCTCACAATTGCTGTGTTCTCCTTCCCCCAGTGCCCAGAGATGCTCTCATGACCAGGCTGCAGCTGCTGGGGGTGGGGGAGGAGTGGTGTCCATGATTCAAGACTGTTTATTTCTCTCTTCAGTGCCTCTTTCAGAGATATGCAGTTAAAACCTGGTGCTATGCGTGTTCACCTGATTTTTGGTTCTTATGAAGGTGGTTTTTCTGTGCGGATAGTTGTTAAATTGCTGTCCTTGTTGGGGGGATGATGGGTGGAGCTTTCTATTCTGCCATCTTGCTCTGCCCTCCCCAATTATCACTATTCTATACATACGTTTGAAACTGTGATAACCAAAAATTACTTAAAAATTACAAGTAAGACCTTACTCCAGGAGGGCTTCACCATTATGAGTGAACTCTACTGCTGTAGACAAAAAGTGCTGACAAGAAAGTGGCAGAAAACCATTTCCTATTCCATTAAAAAATTTCACCATGTTATCACATTCTTACATGACTCTAATTTAAGTAATAACCAAGTAGTAAGCATGTGAAAACTGCCAGTAACAAAACTTGAGAGCATTTTACTATTAATCATTAGTATTACACTGAAAATATCTTGGTACTGTGAGGCAAAGTACTACAAAGAATATTACATTTTGACTTTATGTTTACCTGTTCTCAGACATGACCTGCAGTGTAAGTATAGAAACCACAGCAGACATTTTAGTGATAGGAAGGCACCATGCACTTAAAAGGAGTTTACATGCAACTGGCAATTTGGGAAAGACAAAGGCTCTTGGTTTTACTTATTTCATGCTGTGAACCCAGTTGAGTCCCTTTATTCATACACCACTTATTGAACAATCTATGCACGTGTAAGTAATAAGTACAAATATGGACTCTGGTCTAATTAAAATTACTCAGTAAGTGCCAAGTATAACCTTTATAATTTTTCTCCAGTGCTTATGTTCTTTGAATCTAGTATGTGTTTGTACATGGTTTGGTTTCAGAAAGACGGCATTTCCGGAAGATATAAATACTAGCTGATGTGTTATTTCTTTTATTTCTCACGGCTAAGTCAGATTTTTCATCTGCACTGCTAGAAAATCATCCTTGACATCTATATTGAAAAGCCACAGAGTCACCCTGAAAAACATTATAAACGTCTCTGAATTGTAGCTTTTGCATCTATAGAATGGGAATAATATTCTTGTACCCCATAGTGCTGTGGGGGAAAGAAATCGTTTAACATTCATGAAAGTGCCTGAACAGTTCTAAGCATGTGGTAAACATGAAATAAATAGAAATATCGCTTTTTTTTTTGAGACAAAGTCTCATTCTCTCACCAGGCTGGAGTGCAGTGGCGCAATCCCGGCTCACTGCAACCTCCGACTCCCTGGTTGAAGCAATTCTCCTGCCTTAGCCTCCCGAATAGCTGGGATTACAGGCATGTGCCACCATACCCAGATAATTTTTGTATTTTTACAAGAGACGGGATTTCACCATGTTGGCCAGGATGGTCTCGATCTCCTGACCTCGTTATCCGCCCTCCTCGGCCTCCCAAAGTGCTTACAGGCATGAGCCACAGTACCCGGCCACCTTTCATCCTTACCTAAATATTCATACCTTTGTTTGCTGATACCTCAAAAACCTCTTATGCTGTCTTTCAGATCTCTTTCTTTTGAACATAGAACTGTCATCACAGTGTCCTGTGCTCAGACCTTAATTAGCTTTCTTCCAAACTCTTGTCCTGAAGCTAGAGAGATATCCATATTTTTTCCTGCTTTGGTCTCTCTTGCCTCTGAGGAAGTGCTGTTAAAAACTCTGGTTTGAAGGTGAGTGTAAAATATACCAAGACAAAGTGCACACTGTTACTATAGTCCAAGCATCATGCAAGATTGCCATTCTGCAGTCCAGGTCCTCCTACAGGCCCAGAGGGCCATGGACTACATCAGGTCAAGCCAGAGTACTTAGCACATGCTGGGCACCCCGTCAGTGTTTCTGGAATGAATTAATTTCATATTTATTATTTCTTACTCTGAATTCTCCTCACTAGGAACCTCAAGTCCTTCTTGGACGTCAAGTACAAATAGTTTGTACTAACCATTCGGTTACTTTTTAGAGCCATAATTTCTATGTTTTTGAAGCAGTGCCAGTAGTCCAAGTACTCACTTAAGGGGAATCTAGTCTAGATCAGTGCTGATACATCATCGTTAGCACTTTATGTGAATTTTTTCTTTCACATTAATTGTTGTAAGTGAGGCTTCACTGATATGAAAAAAAGAGGTAAAAAAGTAGGAGGGAAGTCATGAGTAGCTAAAATAATAGAAGGTGAAACAGGTTTTATCTCCTTGATTATTTACTTATTACATGCCTAATTTTGGGCAAATATCCAACCGCTATCATCCTCAGTTACCTAATAGTAAAATAGGTACATTAGCATTTGCTCTGCTGAGTCAAGAGGATTACCAACAAGGCATGGGAAGTCCTTAGAACATTCAATCAAAGTTATCAGTACAGTTCTTTGGGTTTTCAGGGATTGAGCAGTACCAATATCCACTCTCATAGCATAGAACACAAATAGAGAAAGTTCTGAGATGTATCTGTGTATCCCATATTTCAGGGATCCTGGGGTCTTTTACTGCTAACATGAGGAACAGGCAGAGAACTGCAACTACCTAGTTGAAAAACTTGAATTTTGTTTCACATTTTATCGTGTTAGTGGGATAATGAATACCTAACTCAAATTTTCTTCTTCTCTTTCTACATAAAATTTCCAGAGAAAATGGTAAAAGGAAATCATTCCACGGTGACTGAATTTAATCTCGCTGGGCTAACAGACAAACCAGAGCTCCAGCTGCCTCTTTTCCTCCTCTTCCTGGGAATCTATGTGGTCACAGTGGTGGGCAACCTGAGCATGATCACTCTAATAGGGTTCAGTTCTCACCTGCACACCCCCATGTACCATTTCCTCAGCAGTCTGTCCTTCATTGATCTCTGCCAGTCTTCTGTCATTACCCCAAAAATGCTGGTGAATTTTGTGTCAGAGAGGAATATTATCTCCTACCCAGCATGCATGACTCAGCTCTACTTCTTCCTTGTTCTTGTCATATCTGAATGTCACATGTTGGCTGCAATGGCTTATGACCACTACATTGCCATATGTAACCCACTGCTTTACCATGTCGCCATGTCTTATCAGGTCTGCTCCTGGATGGTAGTTGAGGTGTATTTTATGGGCTTTATTGGTGCTACGTGCTCACACAGTCTGCATGCTAAGAGTGCTTTTCTGTAAGGCTGATGTAATCAACCATTACTTCTGTGATCTTTTCCCACTACTGGAGCTCTCCCGCTCCAGTATTTCTATCAATGAAATAGTAGTTTGTGCTTCAGTGCATTTAATATCCTTTTCCGCAGCCTCACCATCCTTAGCTCTTACATCTTCATCGTTGCCAGCATCCTCTGCATTCGCTCCACTGAGGGCAGGTCCAAAACCTTCAGCACTTGCAGCTCCCACATCTCGGCTGTTTCTGTTTTCTTTGGGTCTGCAGCATTCATGTACCTGCAGCCATCATCCGTCAGCTCCATGGACCAGGGGAGTGTCTTCTGTGTTTTATGCTACTGTTGTGCCCATGCTGAACCCCCAATCTACAGCCTGAGGAATAAAGATGTCAAAGTTGCCTTAATTAAGTTCCTTGAAAAAAGAAGTTTCCTGTGAAAGTTGCCTTAAATAAGCTCCTTGAAAAAAGAAGTTTCCTATGAAGGGGGGTATTTTGCTTTAGCAAAAACTTTTAATTTCTGGAAAAGGTTTGATAAGGAAACAATCTAGAGACAGTAAGGTATGTCCACAAGTAATGAGATGGCTGCTACTACTTGGTTATTTGGAAGAAAGATGCCAAGGATAAGGCTGAATTCATAGGATCAGTTACATGTTGGGAGCATTTATGGGATGCCACAGAGTTCATCCACTCAGAGTAACACGTATCACTTCTAAACATTTAAAAAAAATTCATAAGCCTCCGTGTGTGATTATACTTTATAAGTATGGAATATGGCACTTTTTAAGGCAAGACTTATTTACCTTACTTTAAGGAATAAATATATCTTGTCAGTCCCCATGATATTCTCAATACCTGTGTACCTGGGTTTTTCTACTAAGTGTATAGGTAAACACTTCTCAAAGTGTGATCTCCAAAATAAATAATTGCAACCATTTTGAATACCAGATTCAATCACTAATTCTTACTAAGCATGTAGAAATATATTAGGGAATATGGAGGCATATGATGGGTAATAAAACAGTTTCTACCCATAAGGAGATAATACTTAGTGGAAGAGATTGACAGCAATAAATATTGCTAAATACATTTTGTGTATTTTGACATATATTTATGGCAAGGCCCCCACTACCGGCCTGGGTCTCACACCTTCAAGGGAGACTGTGCGTCAGGCGTGGAATAGTGGGGGGTGTGTGAGTGAGCATGGGGTCTGGCCATTGCTTACATCAGACACACCAGCTGCTGTTGCGGGATGGGCAGCTCCAGGTGCTGACACTCTCTGCAAGGCTGCAGCTGGACTAGGTGCACTGCAAGCAGCTTCCTCAGCTGGCACCGGGGAATGTGGTGGCACCTAAAAGCTTGGAGACACCAGGAACTGCAGGGCCCCAAAGAAGAAGTCACAGTGCTGTCTCGGGGAGCTCCCAGGTCTGGGATCCCCAAAGGGCCGCAGCTCTTCTCTCCTGTTCACCCACAACATGGTGAGCAAGGGGCATGTTTCAGCCCTATTTCTGTTGCAGCTCTTTTAGCCTTGCCATTCAGTGGGTCCCAGGTTCTCGTCCTGAGACCAGAAAGAATAAGGCACGCAGACAAGTGGAAGGTAAGCAAGACACAGAGGAGCTTTATCGCACAATAGAACAGCTCAGAGGAGACCTGCAATGGGCAGCTCCTCTCCATAGCAGGGTTTCCCAATGAGTGTCAAGCTCTCAGCAGAGAGGGTAGTTCCTCTCTGCAGGTGGTCACCCAGTCATCTCTTCAGCTCTCAGCAGAGAGGGTATCTCCTCTCTGCTAGGCAGGTCATCCCGTCAAGTGCCCAGCTCTTAGCAGAGAGGGTAGTTTCTCCCTGCAGCTGGTCGTCCTATCATCTCCTTGGTTCTCAGCAGACAGGAAACCCTGGGGTGGTCAGCTCCTCTCTGCAGCTGGTCATCTCATCATCTCCCTTTGTCTCTCCATCCTCTGCTCCAGTTTGGCCGACTCTGGGGTTTTTATGGGCCTCAGAGGGGAGAAAACGTGTACTGATTAGTCCATGAGTCGCCGTAGGGAAAAGCACCATAAGTTCCCCCTCTGGTCTGTGGGACTGGTGACCCCATCCCCAAGCTTCAGGCCCTCTCCAGCTTGGAGGTAGGGCTTCACCAAGGACCCGCCACCTTCTGCCCAGGAGCCTGCCTGAGCATGTGCACCCCCGGCTGGGCTACAACAATGCCCGGGCTTGGTCCTGACTCAGAGCTGGCACCAACAGCAGAGAGAAGCCAGGCAGAGGGAGCAGGCACCCTCATCCCACCGAGGGCCAGGGGAGCCTTCCCAGGCCCCCAAGTCTGCAGAGATGCCTGGGCCTGCAGCCACAGCAGACATGGCAGGATGGCTGCAGCTGCACCCAGGGAGTTCCCACCCTGCCAGCTTGGAAGGGGCCGGACTCCTGCTTATCCTTGGCCCTGCAGCATGCAGCCCCAGCCACGCCTCCTTTAAGCCTGGGGCAGGGGCTCCAAGTCCTTGCTGGGCCTGGGCTGGCATCCAGGGCAGGAGTGACATCAACATAAGTTCTTCCCATGGCCCTGGTGCTCAGGGGTGGCCCAGGGCTCCCACTTGGTCAGCTTGTGACCCTGCCTCAGGGGCACCTCTAGGAGCCGATTTCAGGTCCTGGGACTAGAGGTCAGGAGTGTCAGGCTTGGTGGTTGTCCAGATGCAGGGCAGACCCCTGAGACTCAACCCCCAGTGCAGAGCCTTTTCTCAGGGCACAGGAACCTGGCACCATCAGCAAGGTGGGCATGGTGGCCATGCCACTGGCCAGGTCCCCAAAGCAGATGTTACCTCTGGCCCATCCTCCACACTCCATCTCCAACCACAGCACCATGCTGGGCCCAGCTCTGCCTCGGGGCCATCTCTGCCAGGCCTCCATGCCCAACCGTGCTGCTCCCCCACCAGGAAACTCGGCCCAGCCCCTTCGTGGTGGTCCCCACCATGACAGGCTCCAGGTGGCTTCCAGGGGCGGGGTCCAGAGACTGTCTGCCTCCTCCCCAGCCCCTCCCCACAGCAGTGGCAGGCAAGAGTGGTGACATGGGGCCAGGGTCAGGAGCCACAGAGTCTCTAGGCCTAGGGGTGGGTCTTACCTGGTCATGCAAAGGTGGGGGTGGCTCAGTTGCCTGCCTTGGAGACATGGGGGACAGGGGTCCCACCACCGTTATTGCTGCCCCTGCAGCCTCTCCTGCCACAACCGCTGGCCTCCCCACTGCAGCTGGCACCATGGTAGCGGCGGTTCTGGATGGCCTACTTTTGCCATCAATATAACGTTTAACAAAACATGAAATATAATTTTACTTCCAAAATAATTTAGTTTTATATAAGTACAAAAATAACTTCTGTAACACATATGTCTTTATTGTTCCTCAATATCATTCTTATTTTTTGATGAAAAAAGTCATCAACTCTCCTTGTTAGGCTTACTAGGAACTCCTCAGGGTCTTGGCAATATCTATCATATTTTAACTTGGGGACTGAATGAAAGCATTTTCTTCTTCATTGATCTGAAAGGAAACAGCCCTCAAGTTAAAACATTTCAAGCATTACTGTTTTATGAATACATCATGATATCAAAATATCATTAGTAGAGGTAAATGAAAATGAAAACTTTCAAATTTTAGAAACATTTGTTGTTATTTCTGATTTTCTATTTTCCCCTTGTGACAAATCACTTTAGACAATTCCTTTAATGTATGTTTTAAAAATTGGCTGAAATTTTGAACTTTTCATTGTCTCACTAAAGAGATGAAACTCACTAGAGCTCCAACAAAGTCTCTCACATCCTCATTTCCAATCTGTAATATTACAAGAACAATGAATCACAACATATGCCAATAGGGAAACACTTGAGAACCAAGAGGGGGAAAGGGAAATTCTAATTGTTTCTTTTCCCAAGAGCTGACATTTGTGGGAATAGAATCTAGAGGGAGATCATTATCATTGTTTGTTCCCTATCAGACTCTTACTCTTACCCAGCATATAAAATCCTCACATCAGCCACCCTTTGCAGAGTGCCAGATGGCTTTAGGCATCAGCTTTGTCAGAGATCAGGATGAATGACTCAAAATAATTGCCAAGGAGACTTTTGGGCTATGACCTCCTCGTACCATCAGATTCATTTTTCCCTCCAGAGCAATGGAGAAGAAAAATGTACAACCCTGGACCCTGGCAGAAAGGATGGGTATGTATGAGTCCCAGTCTTTGACTTTAAAATCTTGGAGTCTCCTGTTCCAGCTTCTTTCGCAGTGCAAAGAGAGATGCACACAGCTATTCATCTGTCTCTCCCTGTCCTTATTCTCACATTCACATGCCTTGATGAGCAGTGGTTCCCTTGTCATCTACTTGTTCTCTGCAATATACATTTATGACAAACACTTCTGTGTTTACTCATTTCAATTCAGGCAGTAAGAGGGTTTTTATTCAGTTATTTTGAATCCATATTTACATATCTCTAAGCTTCTTTGAGCAATTTTATTGAACATATATGTATTGAGTTGCTATATGCAAGGCACTACACCAAGCACTATATTGAATTTATAGTCTAGTACAGAAGAAAAGCAAATAAATAAATAATAATAACATAGAATGAAATTAGTGTTACATGTAAACATAAGAAATATATGTATGGACATAGAAAATGGCCTTATTAAGTAGAGTTTGCACTATTAAATGGCCTTATTAAGTAGAGTTTGCACTATTAAAGCCCTTAACTAAAGAGCCTTAACTATTAAATAGGATGTCATAGGCTACAGATGATAGACAAAGAGAAAAATTAAAGGGGCATCATGAGTTAAAACTGAGAGAGTACCAAATGGCCAAATCATGTAATAGCCAAATCATATAGTACTTGTTGGGACATAAAAGAAGAAAACTTTTATTTTGGTTGCCAGATGATAACAATCTTTGAATAAGAGATATTGATTTGAGCTTCCTATGAGGAAATGAAAAATAGTGCTGATTTAAAGAGGTTACTGTTCAGTAAAAAAAATAATTCTGAATCTCTGTGTTAATATGTGTATCCATGTAGGAAGGAGCAAAAACAAGATATGCTGAGGGAGGGAAAAAACCTTCAGCCATCATTATTGGAATAAAAATTTGAGCAAATAAAAAATATTTCAGAGAAGGCTCAATAGATTACAGTTAAAATAACACTGACATTTATTAAGTTCTTACCAACAGATGGGAACTATGCGTCTTTTGATTTTTACATGAGAATGATATTAACATTTCTACTTTTTAGAGGCCTGAAGACGAGAAGTAATTTTCTCAAGATCACACAGCATGTATATGGTTGAGATGATATTTTAACCCAGACTGCCTGATCTAATATCATAGCCCATTAGAATTTTAAATCATGAAATATTGGAACCAGAAGATATATTAAAGCTGATTGAATTCAAGCACCCATCTCATGCTGTGTCCTTGAATAATGTCTGCTAAATGGTTATACAAGCTGACTCTGACATTTCTGGCTATAAGTAAATTAAGGTGTGTTTGACTTTTGGAATGTTCTTTTTTGTTGTGAAACCAAATATTTCTCTCCATCATTTGAAGCACTTAGTTTTTATTTTTTCTCTCTTAGAGACATATACAAGGAGCCCTATACCTCTTAGATATTTTGAACATTTGGATATAAATGCCATGTGCCACATATATTTATATTGTGCTAGCTAAAACCTCAGTTATGTCAGTCATTATTCAAATGACAATATTTTTAGATCATGTTTCTGATATTGTCCAGTTTTTCTATATTCCACATAAAATATTAAACCCTAAACTGAAAACACTAATCCAGCTATTGCTGGAGTGTTACATAAGACCATAAATTTCTTTCATCTAGAATCTACTAATTTTCTTTGCAAAAGTAAATATGTATTAGCCTTTTTTGAAAATCCACATCACACTGTTGACTAGTTTTATATTTAGACTAAGATTGTGAATTGTATTTTGCATGTGCTCTACTAATCCACATAGCCATTATCTTTAAATTTTATAGTGAGCACAGGCAAAATATATGATTATAAAAAGTGATCAGTATAGAAGATATCTAATGTTTGTTTTCAGAAAGCCTTCTCGGTTTTGGAGAATATGAGTACTTTTCTGATCTTCTCCAATTCAGCCACGAAGTACACTTAATGTAGACCAATCATAGTTTTCTGCTCCCCTGGCCAGAATGGGATAATAGGTGACCTGCATTGAGACCATTGTATTACTCCCTTGGGATTATTCAAATTAGAACAAGAGAGGCAATTCCCTCACTGTTGGAAAAGCTCCTGAGGTATAAGGATGCTATCAGCCACGCAGTTATGTTTTTGCCTTGCAGAATAGCAGGTCTGGGTGAAGAAAGTTGAGAAATAAAGAGCTGAAATTTCGGGCAGAATGAGACAGGTCATTACCCAGTTCTTCAGCTATTTTTAGTTGAAATTCTCATAAGAAAAGTAACTCAGACTAATATAACTAATTTTATAAACTCATGCCTTCTATTTTTAGATAGATTAGATAGATAGATTAGATAGATAGATAGATAGATAGATAGATATGAGGTCTTGCTTTGTTGCCCAGGCTTGTCTCAAACAAGTGATCCTCCCACCTCAGCTTCCCAAAGTGCTGGGATTACAGGCATGAGCCACTGCGCCCGGCCAGGACTTCTATATTGATACATTATAAGGAGCATTTGGTTCTCTTTCCTAATCTGAGTAAAATGAAAATCTCATGGCTATGCTATTTGATGTGCATGACGTATTTATATCCTAGAGAATATGGTAGGAAAGAAAAGAATCCTCTGAAATAACATTAGTAGCTTGCTTTCTTATTGAGGTCAAAAATTGGTGTTTTCTCTTAAAAGGATATGAACTAAATTTTAATGTTTTTGATGTCTGCAGTTCCTCCTCTGGTCGACCAGACTATTGTCTATTAAACAGTAGCAAGAGAGGCTCAGGAGACCACTGCATTCTGTTTCTCCTCTGATAAGGTATAGAATATGCAATGATTTACAAATAATTTCTCTCTCACACACAAACACATTCAATTTCTCTTTTTAAAACTTAGAGACTGTTGACAAGATCGTGGACCCTGGAAACCATTCCTCAGTGACTGAGTCCATTCTGGCTGGGCTCTCAGAACAGCCAGAGCTCCAGCTGCGCCTCTTCCTCCTGTTCTTAGGAATCTGTGTGGTCACAGTGGTGGGCAACTTGGGCATGATCACACTGATTGGGCTCAGTTCTCACCTGCACACACCTATGTACTATTTCCTCAGCAGTCTGTCCTTCATTGACTTCTGCCATTCCACTGTCATTACCCCTAAGATGCTGGTGAACTTTGCGACAGAGAAGAACATCATCTCCTACCCTGAATGCATGGCTCAGCTCTATTTATTCAGTATTTTTGCTATTGCAGAGTGTCACATGTTGGCTGCAATGGCGTATGACTGTTATGTTGCCATCTGCAGCCCCTTGCTGTACAATGTCATCATGTCCTATCACCACTGCTTCTGGCTCACAGTGGGAGTTTACATTTTAGGCATCCTTGGATCTACAATTCATACCAGTTTTATGTTGAGACTCTTTTTGTGCAAGACTAATGTGATTAACCATTATTTTTGTGATCTTTTCCCTCTCTTGGGGCTCTCCTGCTCCAGCACCTACATCAATGAATTACTGGTTCTGGTCTTGAGTGCATTTAACATCCTGATGCCTGCCTTAACCATCCTTGCTTCTTACATCTTTATCATTGCCAGCATCCTCCGCATTCACTCCACTGAGGGCAGGTCCAAAGCCTTTAGCACTTGCAGCTCCCACATCTTGGCTGTTGCTGTTTTCTTTGGATCTGCAGCATTCATGTACCTGCAGCCATCATCTGTCAGCTCCATGGACCAGAGGAAAGTGTCGTCTGTGTTTTATACTACTATTGTGCCCATGCTGAACCCCCTGATCTACAGCCTGAGGAATAAAGATGTCAAACTTGCCGTGAAGAAAATTCTGCATCAGACAGCATGTTAATGAATAGAATCAATGTTATGTTGTTACATCAAGATAGGTCTTTGGTTTGATTAGATATCTAACTTATTGGATTTATTGTTGAGATTTATGAAAATTTAGTGATGCTCTTTTATGTAACACCTCTCCAAAATATTCCTCCGGTCTGCTTCCATCGAACTTATATTCCAATGAGCATATGTAAAGAAATACAAAGAATAAAATCAAAAGACTTTTGAGGTTTAAAGTATCCCTAGTTTTATTTATTATTATTATTGAGATGGAGTCTAGCTCTGTCACCTAGGCTGGAGTGCAGTGGTTCGACCTTGGCTCACTGCAGCCTCCGCCTCCCAAGTTCAAGAAATTCTTTTGCCTCAGCCTCCTGAGTAGCTGAGATTACAGGCGTGTGCCACCATGCCTGGCTAATTTTTAAATTTTTAGTAGAGACAGGGTTTCACCATATTGGCTAGGCTGGTCTCGAACTCCTGACATTCAGTGATCTGCCTGCCTCGGCCTCCCAAAGTGTTGGGATTACCGGTTTGAGCCACTACTCTCAGCCCCTAGTTTTATCTTTTAATTATAATATAGACAGCAACCTCAACAACAACAGCAATGATGATGATGGTAATGAGAATGATAGTAATAACATATATTATTGAAAGTTTATGAAATATCAAGCACCCAGCTAAATGGGTCACTCTATTTAACATTTACAGTATTACTTCAGGGAAAGTCTTAGTATTATTATGCTTTTAAATATGAAAAAAATTAAACATTTATTTGAGTGACTGCTCAGGGTTCCAACCATAATATGACATTGAGACTGGAAAGGTTGGCTCAAGGACTTTTGACATTATTCAAAGTGGTACTTGGTCCAGGTAATTGTGAGTAGGTCTAAGGACTCTAGAGAATTTCTGTCTGCAAATCAAGCTTCCCCCGTTCCCTATGACATGTTCCCTACATGATTGTGTCACTGTCCTCTGGACAGCTTCATGACAGTTTCACTTTTATTTCATTTATCATAATGAACATAACCAAAATCTTTCAAATTTGTAATGATCTACGAAAAACAAAGCAAAACCAGAAAATTATTCTAGTCTTATTATAGAGATGCATTGTAGATACTTATATTATTATACTTCATATCAACAATTTATAAAAAACACACATTGTTTTATCGTCATACCAATAACACTATGGCTCTTTATGAGGCAGATCACTGGGGCAGCTGAAAATTCTACTAAGTTGCATTGCTTCCATGTGGTTCACACTCTTTGGTATCATAATTTATAAACAGGTGCCATTTTATGTCAAATTTTCCTTAAAAAAATCTCTTCTCTGCCCTCATGTTATTACTTTTCTGCTTCTGGGCATTTAACATCCTGTAACTGTGAATATCCACGATATTCTAATTACTCGATTGCCTGTGTCTCTCCCCAATTTAAATTACCTACTCGCTATTGTCAGATCAATATTTTTTGATGCTGTTCCGTGTTATTCAACTAATATAACAAGTTTTGGTGTTCACTATAATTTCCTAATATAGGAACAACTAGTACAATATGTCTTTATCATTCTTATATTTCATTATCCATCCATTCAATGCAGTAAGAGATTTGTTCTCAAGGACCCATTGCATTTATTATTTCACTTAATTTTCATCATTTATATAAAGTAAGGGAAAATGGCTACAACTATAACTCTTGTCTTAGGCATGATTCCCAGTCTAGCACTCTGTCCAACAGACTGTCATATATACCAATAGGCTAAAAGAGGACAAACCAAAAAGCACTGTTGGGTAGACACTTGAATCAATATGGCTTGAGCTCATACACAAAATATAGGCTACTTAAAAGGCAGTAGCTTTATCAAGGAAGAGGGAAAAAGCATGTCATATTCAGGGTACTATAATCAAGGCACAAAGATAGAAGAGTAAGCTGAAGTAGTTCATGAACCACCCTGGGTCACTGTAAGACACCACTCCTTATTTTTTTTAATTTCAAGTTTCAATTTTTGTGGGTACATAATAGGTGTATATATTTATGGGTTGCATGAGATATTTTGAAACAAGCTTGCAATACATAATAATCACATCAGAGTAAATGGTTTATCTATCACCTCAAGCATTTATCCTTTGTGTTATAATCCAATTATACCCTTTTAGTTATTTTTAAATATACAATTAAATTATTTTTGACTATAGTAACCCTATTGTGCTAGCAAATACCAGGTCTTTTCCATTCTTTCTATTATGTGTACCCACTAACCCTCCCCATTTTCCCAACCCTGCCCCCCCATCTGACCCCACCTACTACCCTTCACAGCCTCTGGTAACCATTCTTCTACTCTCTATCTCCATGAGTTCAATTGTTTTAACTTTTAGCTCCCATGTGTGAGAACATGTGAAATTTCTCTGTCTGTGCCTGGCTTATTTCACTTAACATAATGACCTCCAGTTTCATCCATGTTGTTGCAAATGACAAAATCTTATTCTTTTTTATGGTTGAATAGTACTTCGTTGTGTATATGTACCACATTTTCTTTATCCATTTGTCTGCTAATGGACACGTAGGTTGCTTCCAAATCTTGGCTATTGTGAATCGTGCTGCAGTAAACATAGAAGTGCAGATGTCTCTTCAACATACTGATTTCCTTTCTTTGGGGTGTATACTACGAGTGGGATTGCTGGATTGTAAGGTAGCTCTACTTTCAGTGTTTTGAGGAACCTCCAAACTATTCTGCCTAAAGATTGTGCTAATTTACATTCCCACCAAGAGTGTACAAGGGTATCCTTTTCTCTACATCTTCATCAGCATTTGTTAAGCCTGTCTTTTGGATAAAAGCCATTTTAACTGGGGTGAGATGATATCTCATTATAGTTTTGATTGGTGTTTCTCTGATGATCAGTGATGTTGAGCATCTTTTCATATGCCTGTTTGCCATTTGTATATCTTCTTGTGAGAAATGTCTATTCAAATCTTTTGCCCATTTTTAGTTGGATTATGAGTTTTTTTTCCTATAGAGTTGTTTGAGCTCCTTATACACTCTAGTTATTAATCCACTATCAGATGAGTAGTTCGCAAATATTTTCTCCCATTCTATGGATTTTCTCTTCACTTTGTTGATTGTCTTCTGCTGTGAAGAAGCTTTTTAACTTGATGTGATTCCATTTGTCCATTTTTGCTTTGGCCTGTGCTTGTGAGTATTACTCAAGAAATCTTTTCCCACTTCAATGTCCTGGAAAGTTTCTCCAATGTATTCTTGTAGTAGCTTCCTAGTTTGAGGTCTTAGATTTAAGCATTTAATCCATTTTAATTTGATTTTTGCATATGGTAAAACATAGGGGTCAAGTTTCATTCTTCTGCATGTTGATATTTAGTTTTCCCAGCACCATTTCCTGAAAAGAATGTCCTTTAGTTCCAATGTATCTTCTTGTCACCTTTGTAGAAAATGAGTTCACTACAGATGTACAAATTTATTTCAGGTCTATCTGAATGTTTTATTCCAATACCATGTTTAAATCAGTCTCTCAGTGATTCTCATTATTGTATAATTACTTATGAAAAGGCCTATTGATAGCATTCCCATTTATCATCTCAACCAAGCTTCAACTATTTCTCACTCCTATTATTTATCATGTTGATGTAATAGTTAGTCATAGTCTGCTCTCCTGTGAAGTGGTGATCCAAATACATCATAATTTGTTATAGACATCTCAGAATCCTGCAGGCATTGTAATTCTAAAGCTAAATAGAAGCTCTCTGATACATGATATGAAAGAACTTGCTGCACTCTGAAAAAATTTTTGTGGGAAGGATTTAATATGAGATATCATGGAACACCTCAATTCACAGAGTGGTCCATACACCAGCAGCATTGGCAAAACTTGACAGATGCTTAAAAGTGCAAATCTGAAGCTATGTATCAAACTTACCAAATCAGAATCTGCATTTGAAGAGGATCCCCAGTGTGATAAGCTTTTAAGAAATGCCGGTATCTGACTTCAGATCCCAAGATTTTGAAGTGATATGCGGAGGACATCTAATATTGTATTTTAAAAATCCCTTGGTTTTAAATATGCAGTAATAATTGAGAAAGATGAATATAGTCCAATCATCGACTTCTTTAAGTAGAATTGAACCTAATGTATTTATCTCTACTTTGATATGAGTGTCCAAATTTACCTTGATTTATTCTGTGAAGACTGCATCCAATTATTCCTATGTTAGAGAAAAACAGGAAAAATATATAAGAAATAAGAAGGAACATGGAACATAGGAAGCTAAAAATAAAATATCTAAATATTCGAATTAATGCAGGAAAAATATTATTAAGGGATCTTAAAAAAGTTAAGTACTATATCAATATTATGAATTCCTACCCCATATCTCTTAAAATCCAAGTATATATAGATTTTACTTTTGAATCAAGTATATACCTGTTTATACATAAAATAAATTAAACATTTTTGCACAAGGAAATAGGTGGCTTAATTGGTTATGTAGTATTATCTAGTCCTATTAGCAGTAAGATAACTTGTCAGGATATGCCTGGTGCTCTGAAACCTGCTCATTATAGTGTAGGCTGTGAACCAATAGCACTGGCTATAAGAAGTGAAGAATCTCAGACCCCACTCAGACCTGCAGGATCAGTGTCTATATGTTAACAAAATGCTCAGGTAATCCCTGCACACAAAACTTTATCACTAATTGATAAGTTTAGGATTGACAGATAATCTCACTTGAGGAAAAAAAAAAAGGCCACTAGAGAGTCAACTGTAATTGCTTCTTTTCTCAAGAGCTAGCTTCCCTGAGAAATGGAAATCTCTGTGGAATATTTGTTCCATGTTATTTGGTACCTGATGTGTTTAAACCAAGGACATAGCTTTATAGCACAGCCATCAGAACTGCTCCGGCGACTGTCAAAGGCAAGGATATTTGCTTCTCTGGTGCTGCAGAAAAAAATGAAAGGTTACAATTGTGGATGCTGATTTGTGATGTAGACCAGCTTCTGAGGCCAGACTGAGGGATGTGCCCTGCCCTCTTTCTCAGCACAAAAGATAGTAGAAACACCCAACACCAGCATTAGTGCCATTCTTTTCCAAGTCAAAGAGAGTAAGTTGCAGGTAAAATTTGGCATTGCATTTCTCAAGCAGAGGTAAGGTGACTGCGGTCATCTCACACTTGTGATTTAAAACTATTAGGCCTGAAGTAATTGTTGTCAAAATTCAAAGATCCCTCTAAAAACATTCATTCATTCTTTCATTCACTCATAAAATATTTTTAAGCACCTTTGATGTGTCAGATGCTGGTTACTTGGGTTAAAGAAGAGGAGAAGTTTAAGTTAGTCTTACATCTGTCTTATAGTTTAGCTCACAGTGTACAATTGCATTGTGTTAGAAATAATAGGTTGCTTTCTAAGCTTGTGTTAGGAAGGTCAATCTATTCCAGTGAGTTGCAGATGTCTTCCTGATGGTGTAATTTTTAAATGAGACTTGGAAGAAATACAATTTCACCAGGCAATTGAGGGATAGGATTTAGTAAGACTATTTCATCTGAAAGGAAGCACAAATAAATGTTCAGATAGCTAAGAAAATATGACATATTCCAGAAATGGAAAGGAACCAAATGTGAACTAGGTCTGGAGAATTGCAAGAGGTAGCATAGATTGTCATACTTTATTCTTTTTTTTTTATTTTTGAGACTGAGTCTCGCTCTGTCACCCAGGCTGGAGTGCAGTGGCGCTATCTCGGCTCACTGCAATCTCCACCTCCCGGGTTCAAGCGATTCTCTTGCCTCAGCCAGTTCAGCAACTGAGATTACAGGCGTGCACCACCACACTCAGCTACTGTTTTGTATTTTTAGTAGTGAGGGGTTTCACTATGTTGGCTAGGCTGGTCTTAAACTCCTGGCCTTAAGTGATCCACCTGCCTCGGCCTCCCAAAGTGCTGGGATTACAGGCATGAGCCACCATGCCTGGCAGCTATATGTGCTTTTTAGGCAGCTCCAAGAACTTACTGCCTATGCCTAGTTTGCTAAGAGGCTTTTTATTTATTATTACTTTTGGATATTTTCTATGTGCTTTTTCTGTATTTTAGAAGAAAATCTGTAAGATTGGTGTTATTACATTCTTAAATGTGAAGAACAGTGAAAATGTCTGGGAAAATATTGTGCCTTGCTTTATGAACCAGCATATAAATAATTCTGTAAAGGTTCCATGTGACCTTAAAAAGAATTTGTGTCATTAGTTGTTGCATGCCGTAAGATCGTGTGTGTGTGTATGTGTATACAGCTATACATACATATGATTATCTTCAAATTTATGACTCTCATTCAGACCTCCTTTATCTTTGCCGATTATTAGGGTTTTTATTTTGAAAATAATTTTATTAATTTATTATATTTAATACTTTATAAGAGTATATCAAAATGTAATTTTATCTAGATTACATTAAGGATAAAAGTACCCATTTTAAGTGTAAAACTCCTAAATGAGTTTTGACAGATGCATACACTATAAACTGGTGAAATCAACACTTCCTTATTGAAACATTTTTATCATCCCTGAAGATTTCCCGTGCTCCTTTCTAGTCATTCTACAGTAGCTACTGACCTCATTTCTATCACCATAAAATTAGTTCTGCTGTTCTACAAGTTCGTATGAACGGAATTGTACAATATGTGCTCTTTTTTGTCTGGCTTTTTGCTTAACATGATGTTTTGAAGATTAATCCATATTGTTGCATATATCTGTGATTTATTCCTTGTTATTGATGAGTAGTGTTCTATTCTATGCAAATCCCACAATTCATTCATTTATTCAATGGTTATTGAATAAATGAATGAATATTTGGGTTGTTTCCAGTTTGGAGTTGTTAGTAACAAGGCTTCCAGGTACATGTTTGTACATGTCATTGTGTAGATACATGTTTACATTTCTCTTGAGTAAACCCTGAATAGCAGAATTGTTGGGTTATAATCTAAGTATATGATTAACTTTCTAAGATATTGCCAAGCAGTTTTCCGAAGTAGTTGTACGGTTTTACACCTCTCCTCACCAGCTATGTGTGAGAGCTTGAGTTATCCCATATCCTTGGCAAACTTTGGAACTGTAAGTTTTTGTTTATTTTGTTTTTTCTTTCTTTTATAATTTTTAGCCATTTCCATGTGGCTGTGTAGTGGTATGTAATTTTCCTGATGAATAATGAATTTGGTATCTTTTTACGTGCTTATCAACTATTTACATATCTTCTGTCATATATCATCTATACAAATACTTTTCTTATATTTTAATTTGGTCTATTGTCTTTGTATCATTGACATGTTGATATTATTTGTATATATTTACATAAAAGGCCATAGTCAGATATACGTATTTTTTGTGGCTTACTCTTAATTTTCTTTTTTTAACTTTTATTTTAAGTTTAGAGGTATATGTGCAGGTTTGTTACATAGGTAAACTGTGTCAGGGGAGTTTGTTGTACAGATTATTTTATCACCCAGGTATTAAACCCAGTACCCGTGAGTTACTTTTCCTGATCTTTTCCCTCCTCCCACCTTCCACTGGCTCTGATAGGCCCCAGTGTGTGTTGTCCCCCTCTATGTGTCCAAGTGGTCATGTGTTCAAATCATTTAGCTCCCACTTAGAAGTGAGAACATATGGTATTTGGTTTTCTGTTCCTGTGTCGGTTTGCTAAGGATAATACATTCATGTCCCTGCAATGGACATAATCTTGTGCTTTTTTAATGGTACCTTTGGAGATGTGCTTTTAATTAGGATAAAAAAGGATTTATCAATGTTATATGGCTAATTCATGTGTGCATATATGTCCTAAGGAATCTAATTGGATTACTCCACTATATTGAAATTTTCCTCTAGTGTTTTTTCCTAAAGTTTAATAGTTTATTGTTTATGCTTAAATTTAAGATTTATTTCAATATTCTTGTTTGCATGGGTGTGAGATAGAAGATTTTAGATTTTCTGTTTCTACTTTATTTAAAATTCAAGTATGACTTATTTGGAATTTTACATTAATGTATCAAATGACAAAATCTTTTGTTTAGTGCATAACAGAGGCTACATTTATATATTTCCTAATTTTATAACTCCATCTTTGGCACACTCCTAATTAAAGAAAGAGGAAAGAGATTAATGAAAATGTGTGAACATCATGTTTACTATTTTTGTATTTTGAAGTATATAAATATCCCTCATTTTCCAATTGATGGATGGTGGAACAACAACGAAAACAATTATTGTTGTCATTTTCAGAGTGCTAAATATCTGCTAATTAGATGATGATGTTAATTTAATTGTCCACACTTATCAACTGGTAAATGAGAGGATCAGAATATGAACACAGGCACTTTGATATTAAGGATTTTTTATTTAGCCGCTACTCCCACTGTTTTCCTCCAACAAAGGCAGAGGTGTAATATTTGGTCCAAGAGCCATAACACTGCTGCAGTGGGACAATTCCACTGGTAGATCTGTATCATGAATCTTGTTGGTGCCATTTCATTTTAATAATAATACTGAAAATCTGATAATTTTTAATAGAAACCTAAATTGCCTGATTATCATTAAAATCCTCCAAAGATGTAGCCATAATGCACCTCTGTTACCCTTGGCAGAACTTCTCTGCTCGTTAATAAAGGACACCGTACTGAATGCAGGTCTGCTCTCTCCCAGTGGCAGCTCAGCCAGCTTCCATCATTTTCATTAGCCCTTGTAAGTTTTTAAGTGTGCGAAAAACAGCTCAGAAAAGTTGACTTGAAATCTTTGGAATGTTCAACCCAGAGAGTAGCAATTAAAATTCTTAAATGATAATAATTATGGCTGAAATATTTTATATAAAAAACAACTATTTGATATTAAGCTATAAAATATTTAATTAATAAAAATATTACTTAGCTAATTTACCCAGAGTTAAATTATTATATATAAACCAAAGTCATCTAAATCATGAATCCTCAGCATGGGATACCCTCCTCCAAAAGTAGAATAGCAACTCAATCCCTACAAACACCATGGTTTTTCTTTCCTCCGTAGAAACTGACCAAAGGAAAATGTCAGCAGGAAACCATTCCTCAGTGACTGAGTTCATTCTGGCTGGGCTCTCAGAACAGCCAGAGCTCCAGCTGCGCCTCTTCCTCCTGTTCTTAGGAATCTATGTGGTCACAGTGGTGGGCAACTTGAGCATGATCACACTGATTGGGCTCAGTTCTCACCTGCATACCCCCATGTACTATTTCCTCAGTGGTCTGTCCTTCATTGATCTCTGCCATTCCACTATCATTACCCCCAAAATGCTGGTGAACTTTGTGACAGAGAAGAACATCATCTCCTACCCTGAATGCATGACTCAGCTTTACTTCTTCCTCATTTTTGCTATTGCAGAGTGTCACATGTTGGCTGTAACGGCATATGACCGCTATGTTGCCATCTGCAGCCCCTTGCTGTACAATGTCATCATGTCCTATCACCACTGCTTCTGGCTCACAGTGGGAGTTTACGTTTTAGGCATCCTTGGATCTACAATTCACACCGGCTTTATGTTGAGACTCTTTTTGTGCAAGACTAATGTGATTAACCATTATTTTTGTGATCTCTTCCCTCTCTTGGGGCTCTCCTGCTCCAGCACCTACATCAATGAATTACTGGTTCTGGTCTTGAGTGCATTTAACATCCTGACGCCTGCCTTAACCATCCTTGCTTCTTACATCTTTATCATTGCCAGCATCCTCCGCATTCGCTCCACTGAGGGCAGGTCCAAAGCCTTCAGCACTTGCAGCTCCCACATCTTGGCTGTTGCTGTTTTCTTTGGGTCTGCAGCATTCATGTACCTGCAGCCATCATCTGTCAGCTCCATGGACCAGAGGAAAGTGTCCTCTGTGTTTTATACTACTATTGTGCCCATGCTGAACCCCCAATCTATAGCCTAAGAAATAAGGATGTCAAATTTGCCCTGAAGAAAAATCTGGACAGCAAAGCATGTTCATGAATCCAATTATTGCCATGTTGTCATATCAAAACAGGCTTTCAGTTTGATTAGATATGTAATATGTTAGATTTATTGTGCAAATTTATCAAAATATAGTGATGCTCTTTTATGTAACACACCTCCAAAATATTCCTTCAGTCTACTTCCATTGAACGTATATTCCAATGAGTATGTGTGGAGAAATACTAAAAATAAAATCAAAACTCTTGAGGTTTAAAGAAGCCATATTTTTATCATTTCATTAATAATAAAAATAACAATGCGCACAACAATGATAATCACAATAAGATGATAATGAAGATGCTAGTAGTGGCATATATCATTCAGATGTGATGAAATAGCAAGCACTGTGTCCTAACATTTAAGTGGATAATTTTATTTAATATTTACAGTATTCCTTCAGGGGAAGCTGTAGTATTATTTCCCAATAAGTAAATAAGGCTTATTTTTTGAGTGAATGCTCAGAGCCCCAAACCTAAGAAGTCATTGAGAGTAGAAAGTTTGGCTTAAGGACTTGTGATACTATTCAAAGTGATACTTGGTCCAGCTACTTGTGGATAGGTGTAAGGACTCCTGAGAAATCCCTTCCAAACATCAAGCTTCCCCAGTTCCCAACATGACTGCATCGCTGTCCTCTGGATAGCTCCAGGATAATTTACTTTTGTTTCATTTGCTATAATAAACATAATCAAAGTCTTCCAAATTTGTATTGATCAATGAAAAATAGATCAAAACCAGAAAATTATTATGGTTTTATTATAGACATACACTATAGATATTTATAATATTATTATACTTGATAGCAACAATTTTGTATAAAAACAACCCACACAACATTGCCTCATCTTTATGTCAGTAATGCTTTGGCTGTTTATGAGGCAACTCATGACAGCCGTAAATTCTTCTAAGTTGCATTGTTTCCATGTGGTTCATACTTTTTTGCCTTATAATTTACAAACCATTGTCATTTTATATCAATTTTCTTTAAAAAAATCTTCTTGGCCCCCAGGTTATTATCTTTCTGCTTCTCAGAATTTAACATCTTGTAAGTGTGAATTTCCATGATATTCTAAATAATTGCCTTGTGTCTCTCCCCAGTTCAAACTTTCCTACTCATTGTTGGCAGGTCAATAGTCTTTGGATGCTGTTTTGCATTATTCAGCTGATATAAGAAGTTTCAATGTTGACTATATAGTTTCTAAGTATAGGACAAACCTATATATTTTTATCTCCCTTGTATTCCGTTATTCATTGCAATCAGATATTCATTCTCAGAGTTCCTCTCACATTATTTCCCTCAATTTTCATCATTTATATAATGTAAGGGAAGTTGGCCACAATTACAACTCTTGTGTTAGGCATGATTCTGAGTCCAGTGCTCTGTCCAACACATTGTCATATATGCAAATAAGTGAAATGGGGACCAACAAAAAGCGTGCTGTTGCATAGACCTTTGAATCACTGGGGCTTGAGCTCATATAGAAAATACAGACTAATTAAAAGGTGGCAGTCTCATTAAGGAAATGGCAGAAGCTTGTGCAGCCCCAGAAGGGATGTCATATTCAGGGTAATACAATCATGCTACAAGGATAGAGAGGAGGCAGAAACAGTTCATGAACCAACCCTGATCATTATAAGACATCACTCCTCATTTTAGTGTGGGGAACTGCTAGAAGTTTTTAAGCAGGAAAGTGAACACAATTAGTTTTGCATGCTAATAATGTCACATATGTCAATATGGAAGACAGATGGACGTGAATGAAAAACTTATGCTACTGAGGAAATGCCAAACGTAACTGCGTCTTTTCTCAAAAACTTATTTCTCTGAGAAATTGAAATCTTGAGGGTATTTGTCTCTATGTTGTCATATCTAAATCTAAGATATATCTTTATAGCACATCCATCAGACCATCATAACTGTCAAAGGTGAGGATATTTGCTACCCTGATGCTGGAGAAACCTAACTTGAAAAGTTACAATTGTGGAGGCTGACCTGTGATGCAGACCAACTTCAAATGTGGTTCTGAGACTAGACAAAGGGTTGTGCCCTGCCCTCTCAGCATTAAAGATAGCAGAATACTGAGTACATACAACTCTCAACACCAACACTAGTGTAATTGTTCTCCAAATTGAAGAGAATAAGTTATGAGTAAAATTTGGCATTGCAGTTTTCAAGCAGAGGAAAGGTGACTGTGGTGTTCTGCTCACACTTGTGATTTGAGACTATTAGGTCTGGAGGTAATTGCTGTAAAAATCCAGTTAAACATCCTGCTTTATACATTCATTCATTCATAAAATATTTTAAAGTGCCTTTGATGTTCCAGACACTGTACTCTTACTTTGGATAAAGAGGAAGATAAGTTTGAGTTGGTCTGTCTTCTGGCTTATAGTACAGCTCACAGTCTCAAGTTGTACTGTTAGAAATGATAGGTGGTGTAGCCTAGGTGACGTGGCGAAACTGCATCTCTACAAAAAAAAAAAAAAAAAGAAAAAGAAAATAACGGGACATGGTGGTGCACATCTGTAGTCCCAGCTACTCAGGAAGTTGAGGTGGAAGGGTAGATTTAGCCAGGTTCAACCAGGGCGAGGCTGCAATGAAGCATGATCACACCACTGCCCTGCTCTAACCTGGGCAACTGAGTGAGACCAAGTCGGAAGGAAGGAAGGAAGGCAGGCAGGCAGGCAGGCAGGCAGGCAGGCAGGCGAGCGGGCGGGCAAGGGCGAGGGCGAGGAGGAAAGCTTGTATTCAGAAGGTCTAATCTATCCCAACAAATTGGAAATGTTTTTCCGATGGTGTAATTTTTAAATGACACTTAGAAGAAATAAAATTTCACCAGGCAATTGAGGGATAGGATTTAGTAAGACTATTTAACCTGAAAGAAAGCATAAATAAAGATTCAGATTTCTAAGATGATATGGTATATTCCAGAAACTGGAAGGAAGCAGATGTGAACTAGGTCTGGAGAATAGAAAGAGGTAGTAGGTATATTCATTCTTTATCTTAAAAACAGTGAAGAAGATCCGTTTTTTCAGTGTCCCCAAAAGTAGATTTTCCTCTGTTTTATAGATGAGTGTATTGTATGATTTAGGAAAAGTACCTAGTTCCATTTTTAAGAACTCAAATTGTTAGAACCTTTCCCTCATATCTAGTAAAAGACACAGCCTTCAATATTCCAAACACCGCATATGAAAGAAGTTTTCTTCCCTTTTGATTCCCTTTTGATATAAGACAACGCACGCTAATTATCCTATTACCTTTGAATATTTCCAAGTTATTCACAGCTTCTGTGTCCCTTTCATTTTGTCTATGTCCCTCCTTACAAAGGACATTAATAATAAAAACAAAACTTTAAATATAATGTAAGTGTAGCAGAGTGCTTCCCAGCTTCATTGCACACATAGAAAATGGTAATATTTCTGTGGCACAAGAACTTAGCACAGTTATGTTCCACTCACGGTATTCCAGTTCCATAGAACTCATGTCAGGAAGACTTGAGTCTCCCTGTTATGGACTTCCTGTTACTTACGGACTCCCTATTATTTACGGAGTCTTCGTGTTATGGACTTGTTATGGCTTTTATGTGGATTATTGCCCATCATATTCTAGATAATATATTCATATAATTGCAATCTAAAACAAACCAATTTATTAACCAACCATTTACTTTATTGGCTTAATGAGTTAACGAAAAACTCAGCCCTGTTTTTTTCATGTGAGTTGCACCCAAAACATATACAGTATGCAAAAAAATTGTTTTTTTAAAGTAAATTTAGAATTTAAATCTTTGCACTGCTAAATTTCAACTTATTTGTTTTAGCTGTTTTGGGCCTGGATCTACTTGCCCAGTAGGTGTAGTCTTTTTGGGCCCAGATTACAGTAACATGAGAGGTTTTGTTGGCCACTTGGTGTGCAACATACTTACCATGGGGGATTAGCAATCTCCAAGTGCAAGCTTAAATGAGCAAAGGAAAATTTCACAAAGAATTGAAGTCTCAACTGCTTATTTCTAGTTGTATTCACAAGTATTATCTTTACAATTAAGGTAAGAAAAAACAGAAGAAAGAAAGACAGGAAGAGATGAATCAAGAAAAGTAAGGAAAGAAGGTAGGGAGGAAGGAAAGGATAGAAGGAAGAAAATGAAGACTAGAAGAGAAAAGATAGAGGTTCTCAAGCTCTTCACTTGAAGCAGGCAACTACTTTGACTTTGGTTTCTTAATCCTATCATTCCCACAGTTAGCTATTCATCACAATTAGTTGATACTTTGTTTTCTTGCTTTAAATTATTTTGACTTTTGAACATTTAGATCTTTAAAATGATCTAATCACTAGTTCTGTTCTTGGATTAAGAAGTCTGTATTGGGAATTTCTCTAGATGAGTTGAGAAAACTTTGAAAATTGATGAATAAATAGTTTTGAGAATATTTTTACATTTCCAGAAGCAAGTGAAAGAGGAATGAAAATGAAATACAAGATAAATATTGGAAGAGAGGGTAGGTGGTGGTAATGATTTAACTAAAGTAACTCCACATATATTAGAAAGTCGAGTTAATGTTCAAAGTTGATAATTCTGAAAAAAAGCAATATGAGGAAATTATGTAGAGGTATGGGGGTAGCCTTCAGAAGAACTAGAAACAGAAGCTCTTTGTTGGAGCTGTTCTATAGAGAGAAAGCTGTCTTTGGGGAATAGGACTAAGAGCATAGGGAAGGTAACACAGGAATTTTGGGGGTTTGTTATAATTATGGTAAGAGTTTTACATTCATTTTTGTACATACTATTATCTCCCTAGATGATGCTGATTATCAGCCATATCTGGAAATCTTTGAGTTAATTAACCCTCTGTGTTCAAGTATGTTCTTTTACATCTGACTGTAAAGCAACTAGCCCACATAACTATAGCTTATCCACAAACATGTTATGAGAGCCTGTGCCACTTGCCTGTATAATTTGAAGATGAGCTGTACCTATGCCATATCCATCTTAAGTAACTTAAACATTGGCTTTGACATAAAATTCCTTTGAGTTCAGACAAACTGAATTCAGAAAGGAAGGCATTTACTGATTCCATATGTGGATGTTAAGTTGGTTCAGATATAAGGAGTAAGGAATATACAGCATAAAAGCTCATCCTTCACAGGCTATTTAGATTGATAGTCTATTACAAGTTTCATTTATTGAAACACTGGTCTAGTCACTTCATGATGGGGTCACCATTGTCATAAATCAGATATCTGGATATGTATATAAATCTGGTTTTGAATTCTAAATTTTGCTCTACTAATCTATCCTTACACCAATAAGACACCATCTTGTCTTATAATGTGCCAATAACATATGATAGCGTGATTTATACAGCTTTGTTTTTCAAGGTTGTTGTGGATATTTTGGGCTATATGCATTTCCATGTGAAATTTATGGCAATCCACTAAAAATTCTACAAAATTTCGATTTGGATCACATTGAATGTATAGATGAATATGGGAAGACTTGATATCTTCATAGTATTGAGTCTTCTAATTCACGAACATGGTAAATATCTCCTATTATTAAGATTTTCTTACATTTTTTAATAATTTATAGTTTTCAATATACAGACATAATACAATTTGGTGTATTTATTTCTAGGTATTTGATTCCAAATTATTGCTATTTTAAGTGACGTGATTTTTAAAAAATCTTTTATTTGTATTTGTTGCATCTTAAAAAGATATATTTTAATATGAAGACATAGAAATGTTCAAAAGCAAAGAATTGAAAGTGATATGCTATGCAAGCACTAACCAAGTAAAAATGGCTTTGATATTCTAATAATAGGCATAGAAACTTAAAGCATGATGCATTACTATATATTAGGGAAACATTCCATAATGATATATGGTTCAGTCCAAGATTACCTAAAACAAAGATCTCAGAACCCTAAATTTCTATATGACCCAAAGCTATATAGAAATATATATATACGGCCCCAAAATTTTGTAAAAATTATGAAATATATTTAGAAATAGACAAATCAAATATTTGTGGGATACTTTAATATATATTCCTCCGTCAATAACTCTTTTTTTTTTTTTGAGACGGAATCTCGCCCTGTCACCCAGGCACGATCTCGGCTCACTGTAAGCTCCGCCTCCCAGGTTGACGCCATTCTCCTGCATCAGCCTCCCGAGTAACTGGAACTACAGGTGCCCGCCACCACGCCCGGCTAATTTTTTGTATTTTTAGTAGAGACGGGGTTTCACTGTGTTAGCCAGGATGGTCTCGATCTCCTGACCTCGTGATCCACCTGCCTCGGATTTCCAAAGTGCTGGGATTACAGGCATGAGCCACCACACTCGGCCTGTCAATAACTCTTCAAACAGAAGACCAAAAATAAAACCACTATGGATGTAAAATATGAAAACCACAATAATGAATTACATGTAACTCACATATATAGACCAAACAACTCTGAAAGAGCAAAAAACATTTTTTCAAATGCATTTGAAACATTCACAAAAATGGATCATATATTGTAAGATTTATAAAACTACAACAACTTTCAAAAAGTAAATAATATGTGTTTATTGACCACAATAAAATTAAAATATTTTTGAAGCCTAATTTTCTACAACTTAATAACGTATTTTTTCAAATATATAACATTTATATATTAAAATATAAAAATAATACATTTAAAATACATTTTAAATATAGGACAAAAATAATTGAAAAAATACTTAAACTAAATTATAGTTACAATTTAAAACATTAAAACATGTAAGATGCAGCTAAAGAGGTGCCTTTGAGGAAATCTATACCTTATATGTATATGTTCAAAAAAGAAGGATGATTGGGATAATCATTTAAGCTTTATTTAAAGAATTTAGGAAAAAGGAAAGCAAACCAAAAAATCTATAAAGAAAATGAAATAATAAAATTGTTAAGAATAGTTTAAATATAAAATATACACAAAATTCATAAAATCAATGTAACGTAAAATTTTTAATAAAATTTATTAATAAAACTACTAACATGAATAATCAAGAGAAAAAATAAACTATAAATATCTGATTTCTGGAATAAAGAAATAGAAAAGATTGCATACCCCACAAATATTTTAAAAAGTGAAAAAAATAGTATGAAAACCATTTAGTAATTTTCAAAATGGGTAAATGTCTTGAAGTATCAGTTTAAAAGAGTTGAAAAGAAAGACAAAATCTGAATAATTGATAGCTATTTAAGAAATTTAATCTGTTACTTGAAATCTAAACAAAAAGAATGTCAAAGATCTACATCACTTCACTAGTGAATACTTCCAAACATTTAAGGTAATTTTTATGCCAACTATTCCAGATTTAGAAAGAGAATATCTTCTAATCTTTTACAAATTCAGTTTTTAAAAAAATTACAAGAATGGAAAATTATGTATTACCTTTTTTTGTGAATATAGAAAATAAATACTCTGGCATATAAGTAATTCTGTAAAGGTTTCATATGGTCTCAAAAAGTATAATATCTAGTTGTTGACTGATGTGAGATGATAAGTATATATAGGTAGGTAGATATTCACATTTATGAATCTTGCTCAAGTATTCTTTATCTTTGCTGATTTGTGTTATATACATTTTAAAATAAAGATTAATTATTAATTTCATATTTAATAGGGATTATATAAAGATATAAGTTTATCAAGATTACATCAAGAATGAAAGCATCCATTTAAAGTGTAAAAGTCATGTGTCAAACTAAATGAGTTTGACCAATGCATATACTATACACTGGTGAAACTAACACTTCATTACTGAAACATTTTCATCATCCCAAAGGTTCCCATGCCCCTTCCCAATCTCCTATATTCTTCTAGAGTCAGCCTCTGACCTTCTAGCACCACAGATTAATTGTGCTGTTCTACAGGTTTATATGAATGGTATTGCACAATGTGTACTCATGTCTTGTTCTGTTTGCTCAACATGACCTTTTCAAGAGTAATCCACATCATTGCATGTATCTGTGATTGATTCCTTGTTATTGATGAGTAGTGTTCCATTCTATGCATATACCATAATTCATTTATCTGTTCATTGATTGAATAATCGGGTTGTTTTCAGTTGGAGATGCTAGTAATAAAGTTTCTATGTACATAAATATTGAGGAATAGAATTGTTTGGTTATCTTCTATGTATAGAATTAATTTTCTCTCAAGTTGCCAAAGAGTTTTCAAAAGTGTTTGGACAATGTTATATCCCTTCTCACCAGCTAGGAATGAGAGCTCTAGTTGCTCCATGTCCTGGTCAAACATTAGTACTGTAAGTTTTTGTTTGATTGTTAGTTTGTGTTTTTCTCTTTATTTTTTCTTTTTTATATTTTAGTCATTTCAGCGTATGTGTGTGTGTACTGGTAGTTATTATGGGTTTAAGTTTCAATTCCCTGATAAATAATGATTTTAGTATCATTTTATGTGATTATTAACTACTTGTATGTTTTCTATGATATATCTGTTCAGATAGTTTTCTTATTTTTTAATTTATTATATTATCATCTGGTCAACATTATTTACAAATTTTAGATGATAGTACACAGTTGGACAAATGTATTGTCTGTGGCTTACTCTTAATTTTTTAATGGTGCCTTTTGAAGAGTATTTTTTAATTTGGATAAAATATAATTTATCAATATTGTATAGGTAGTTTGCTTGTATGAGGGTATTCTCTCAAGAAATCCTAGACACTCCAGTAATGAAGATCTTCTTCAGTGTTTTTTTTTTCCTCACAAGTTTAATAATTTAGTATTTATGCTTAGTTTTAAGATTTATTTCAAGTTTTTTTGATTATTTGTTTAGGTGTGAGTAGAACATTTTAGATTTTTTGATCCTCCTTTTTTAAATTCAGGTATAATATATTTGGAATTTTACTTTGACACATGAAGTGATTTTTAAAATCATGTGTTTACTGCTTGACATAATAAGGGACTGCATTTATAATTCATTATCCCTTATTTTATGACTGCCTTTCACACCCTCCTAGGTAGCGAATGAAAAAAGATGAAGGGAAGAGTTTAAACATTATGATTGTTGGTTCTGTATTTGCAAGTTTGTAATTGCCCCATAATTTCTAACTGATGATTGTTGTAAGTTACAACAATTATTACTGTTGTTATTTTCAGAGTGCTAAATATTACTAATTAGATGATGTTATTTTACTTGCCCAAGCTTATTAGCTAGTAAATCATGGGGGCAGAATATGAAAACAGGCACTTAGACTTTGAGTCTTGCTTAGTTAACACTATGTAAACATCTTTTCTCAAGCAAAGAAAAATCATCTGACCCAAGAGCCACAAACTCTCCAACGGTGGGACACTCCAGCTAGTAGCTCTGAACCGAGTACTTCTGGTGCTGTTTCATTTTAATAGCAGTTGTGAAATCTGAAGATTTCTGGAAAAATTCAAATTAGCTGATTATCATTTAAAAACTCCAAAGATGTTCCAGTAATGTGTCTCTGTGAACCTCGGTTGATCTTAGCTGCTAGTTAATAAAGGATACTGCATTGAATCTGGGGCTGCTCTTTCTGAGTGGCTGCTCAGCCAGCTTCCATCATTTTCACTGGCTTCTCTAAGTTTAAGCCTGTAAATATCACCTTAGAAAAACAGATGTTTTGCATTTCTCTGATGGCCAGTGATGGTGAGCATTTTTTCATGTGTTTTTTGGCTGCATAAATGTCTTCTTTTGAGAAGTGTCTGTTCTTGTCCTTCGTCCACTTTTTGATGGGGTTGTTTGTTTTTTTCTTGTAAATTTGTTTGAGTTCATTGTAGATTCTGGATATTAGCCCTTTGTCAGATGAGTAGGTTGCGAAAATTTTCTCCCATTTTGTAGGTTGCCTGTTCACTCTGATGGTAGTTTCTAGAAGCTCTTTAGTTTAATTAGATCTCATTTGTCAATTTTGTCTTTTGTTGCCATTGCTTTTGGTGTTTTAGACATGAAGTCCTTGCCCATGCCTATGTCCTGAATGGTAATGCCTAGGTTTTCTTCTAGGGTTTTTATGGTTTTAGGTCTAATGCTTAAGTCTTTAATCCATCTTGAATTAATTTTTGTATAAGGTGTAAGGAAGGGATCCAGTTTCAGCTTTCTACATATGGCTAGCCAGTTTTCCCAGCACCATTTATTAAATAGGGAATCCTTTCCCCATTGCTTGTTTTTCTCAGGTTTGTCAAAGATCAGATAGTTGTAGATATGCAGCGTTATTTCTGAGGGCTCTGTTCTGTTCCATTGATCTGTATCTCTGTTTTGGTACCAGTACCATGCTGTTTTGGTGACTGTAGCCTTGTAGTATAGTTTGAAGTCAGGTAGCATGATGCCTCCAGCTTTGTTCTTTTGGCTTATGATTGACTTGGTGATACGGGCTCTTTTTTGGTTCCATATGAACTTTAAAGTAGTTTTTTCCAATTCTGTGAAGAAAGTCATTGGTAGCTTGATGGGGATGGCATTGAATCTATAAATTACCTTGGGCAGTATGGCCATTTTCACGATATTGATTCTTCCTACCCATGAGCATGGAATGTTCTTCCATTTGTTTGTATCCTCTTTTATTTCATTGAGCAGTGGTTTGTAGTTCTCCTTGAAGAGGTCCTTCACGTCCCTTGTAAGTTGGATTCCTAGGTATTTTATTCTCTTTGAAGCAATTGTGAATGGGAGTTCACTCATGATTTGGCTCTCTGTTTGTCTGTTATTGGTGTATAAGAATGCTTGTGATTTTTGTACATTGATTTTGTATCCTGAGACTTTGCTGAAGTTGCTTATCAGCTTAAGGAGATTTTGGGCTGAGACAATGGGGTTTTCTAGATATACAATCATGTCATCTGCAAACAGGGACAATCTGACTTCCTCTTTTCCTAATTGAATACCCTTTATTTCCTTCTCCTGCCTGATTGCTCTGGGCAGAACTTCCAACACTATGTTGAATAGGAGTGGTGAGAGATGGCATCCCTGTGTTGTGCCAGTTTTCAAAGGGAATGCTTCCAGTTTTTGTCCATTCAGTATGATATTGGCTGTGGGTTTGTCATAGATAGCTCTTATTATTTTGAGACACGTCCCATCAATACCTAATTTATTGAGAGTTTTTAGCATGAAGGGTTGTTGAATTTTGTCAAAGGCCTTTTCTGCATCTATTGAGATAATCATGTGGTTTTTGTCTTTGGTTCTGTTTATATGCTGGATTACATTTATTGATTTGCATGTATTGAACCAGCCTTGCATCCCAGGGATGAAGCCCACTTGATCATGGTGGATAAGCTTTTTGATGTGCTGCTGGATTTGGTTTGCCAGTATTTTATTGAGGATTTTTGCATCAGAGATACCATCTCACACCAGTTAGAATGGCAATCATTAAAAAGTCAGGAAACAACAGGTGCTGGAGAGGATGTGGAGAAATAGGAACACTTTTACACTGTTGGTGGGACTGTAAACTAGTTCAACCCTTGTGGAAGTCAGTGTGGCCATTCCTCAGGGATCTAGAACTAGAAATACCATTTGACCCAGCCATCCCATTACTGGGTATATACCCAAAGGACTATAAATCATGCTGCTATAAAGACACATGCACACGTATGTTTATTGCAGCACTATTCACAATAGCAAAGACTTGGAACCAATCCAAATGTCCAACAATGATAGACTGGATTAAGAAAATGTGGCACATATACATCATGGAATACTATGCAGCCATAAAAAATGATGAGTTCATGTCCTTTGTAGGGACATGGATGAAATTGGAAATCATCATTCTCAGTAAACTATCACGAGAACAAAAAACCAAACACCGCATATTCTCACTCATAGGTGGGAATTGAACAATGAGAACACATGGACACAGGAAGGGGAACATCACACTCTGGGGACTGTAGTGGGGTGGGGGGAGGGGGGAGGGATAGCTTTAGGAGATATACCTAATGCTAAATGACGAGTTAATGGGTCCAGCACACCAGCATGGCACATGTATACATACGTAACTAACCTGCACATTGTGCACATGTACCCTAAAACTTAAGGTATAATAATAATAAAATAAAATAAAATAAAAAGAAAAACTGATGTTTATAAGGATCACTGAAGTGTTCAAAATAGAAAATAGATACTTCAATGATTTAGAATGATTAAAATTATGACTAAAATATTTTTTATAAAATAATTTGATATGTTTTAGGTTAAGATGTAAAGAACATTTAAAAAACACAAATATCACTTAGGTAAATCTATCTAGAGTTAAAATTATTATATGGAAACCAAGGTGATTGATATAGTTTGGCTTTGTGTCCCCACCAAAATACGATCTAGAATTGTAATCCCCATGTGTCAAGGGAGGGACCAGGTTGGGGGGTGATTGGATTATGGGGGCAGTTTCCCCCATGCTGTTCTCATGATACTGAGTAAGTTCTCATGAGACCTAACGGTTTTATAAGTGTTTGACAGTTCCTCCTTTGCTCTCCCTCCCTCTTTTCCTGCTGCCTTGTGAAGACGGTACCTGCTTCTCCTTCACTTTCCACCATGATTGTAAGTTTCCTGAGGCCTCCCCATCCATACAAAATTGTGAGTTAATTAAACCTCTTTCCTTTACAAATTACCCAGTCTTGGGTATTTATTCATAGCAGTGTGAAAACAGAGTAATACAGTGATACCTAAACCAATAATTTTCTATATGGGATACCTTTAAAAACTGAGGGACAACAAAGATGTGTCTCTAAATACTATGTCTTTTTTTGCCGCTTTACAAACTACTCAGAAAAAAATGGAAGCAGTAAATTATTCTTCAGTGACTGAGTTCATTCTGGTTGGGCTAACAGAAGAGCCTGAGCTCCAGCTGCCCCTCTTCCTTGCCTTCCTGGGAATCTATATGGTCACAGTACTGGGGAACCTGGGCATGATCACATTGATTGGGCTCAGTTCTCACCTGCATACCCCCATGTACTATTTCCTCAACAGTCTGTTCTTCAGGTGAACTTTGTGACAGAGAAGAACATCATCTCCTACTTGTATGCATGACTCAGCTCTACTTCTTCCTCATTTTTGCTATTGCAGAGTGTCACGTGTTGGCTGCAATGGCGTATGACCACTGCGTTGCCATCTGTAGCCCCTTGCTGTATATTGTCGTCATGCCCTATCAGGCCTGTTTTCCCCCCGATTTTGGGTGTTATATTATTATTTTATTTATGTATCTTTATTTTGGATTCAGGGGTACATTATAGGGTCATTATGTGGTTATATTGTGTGATGCTAAAGTTTGGTATATGCATGTTCTAGTCATGCAAGTGCCCAAAGCAATGTTCAGATTCCATGCTATCCCTATCAAAATACATTATTTTTCACAGGTGTTATATAATTGGCCCAGTTTTGTTCATCAGCTTATACAAATATACAGCTGCATGTCTAGGGTTCAATTCTGCAAATTTGATGTGATCAATCATTATTTCTGTGATTTTCCTCCTCTCCTTAAGCTTCTTGATCTAGTACCTATGTTAACAAGTTACTGATACTGTGTGTTCATGCATTTAACATCTTAGTCCCTAGCCTGACCATCCTTAGCTCTTACGTCTTTATTATTGCCAGCATCTTCTATATTTGCTCCACTGAAGGAAATTCCAAAGTCTTTAGCATTTATGGCTCTCACATGGTGGTGGATGTGGTCTTTTAGGGTCTGCAATATTCATATACCAGTAGCTATCATCTGTCAGCTCCGAGTAGTAATGGAAAGTATCCAGTCCTCTGCGTGTTACACTACTGTTGTGCCAATGCTTAACACCCTGATCTACAACCTGAGGAATAAAGATGTCAATGTTTCCCTGGAGAAAATGCTGCAGAGAACATTACTGTAAACAGAAATAAAAGATGGTTTATTAAACTTAAGTGGTTGACTGTTACACTGTATGAACGGATGTCTTTCATTTTAGTGCAACTGTCAATATTTTTTCTCATTTGGTGAGATTGTATTACCATTATTTCTTCTTCTCATCATCTTTTGATGCTATTTCCCATGTGGGGTTTTATGTCATATGCATTATTGAGACACAAATTAGAAGAAAAACTAAGAATAGCATGGATACATAGATCAATTAATGCTATCCCTGCCCCCTTACCTCTCTTATTATACACAGTTGATAAAAACTCAGCTCAGTCTCCAACCATAATGGAAATATCATCTTCCAACAGTGATACCAACCTCATTTATTCTTTCCATTCAAAAAATAACAGAAATCATGACAATGTGTTAGTTGTAATCTCTAGTTTTTGCACAATGTTAGCCTGCAGCAGTCTCTTTTCTGCCCGATTCAACTAACTAAACTTGTCTTCCTTATTTCTTCCATTATTTTTTTTTTTTACTTCAGAAACCTATTCAAAACTTTAGAGTCAAAGTTGCAGACCCACGTGTGTGTTGTGATTGTACACTCCAGTATGCCCACTGCTTTGCCTTTTACTATTCTAATTTGTGCTGCCTGCTTATTGTCCAATGTGCCATGGGCTGTAATCTAGGATGAGATTATGAAAAAAAACTCCTTGTTGATTTTAAATGTGCAGCCATAGTAAAATCACTGATCTAGACCTACTTCATTCTCTTTAAAGACAATCAAACCTAGTGTTTTGTACGATTTTTCAGAGCTTCTAATATGTAACTTCCCATATAGTCTTTTTCAATTCCTTCATTTATTTGATGCACATTCAATATAAAATTTCATCTAATTTTATTTTGAAGAAAGTGAAAAACCATAAAAAGTAAGAAGTGGGGCACTTATATGGACTTATATGGAAACTAACTTCTCCAAAACTTAAATACTTTCTTCAGTTATAAAAATTAGGAGGCAGAATTTAAATCAACAAAGAAACTCAAAAATTAAGTATTATATCAATCCCTAAATTATTACACCATGCTTCCTGAAATACAATTATAAACAGATTTGAATTTTCAGTCAACTATATAAATTACCTATTTACACACAAATTAAAACTAAATATGTCTATTTGCAAGGAAATAAAAAGTGTGTTATTTTAAAGTTTTTAACTTTATTATCAGTACAAGATAACTTGTCAGGATGTGCCTAGTCCTCTCAAGTATATTAATCACAGTGTGTGCTGTGAACTAAATTACATTAGAAGCATGTAAGAAATGCAGAATTTCAAGCTCCACTCAGACCTATTGCATTAGAATCTGCATTTTAGCAGAGATAATCCTTGTGCACAAATATTTACCACCAATTGACAATTTTAAAATTGACAGGGAATTCGTTTACAGGAAAATTAGACAACTGGGGAAATGTCAAGTGTAATTGCTGGTTTTTTCCAAGAATTTGGTCCCTGAGAAATGGAAATCCCGGGAGAGTATTTGTCTCCATGTTTTTTGGTACCTCGCATATCTTAACCCAGGGCAAGCCTTTATAGCACAGCAATCAGAGCTGCTCAGGTGAGGATGCTTGCCACCCTGAAGCTGGAGAAACAAAAACTGCAAAGTCATAATTAGAAATACTGACCTGTGATGCAGACCAGCTTCAAAGTGACTCTGAGACTGAGGGCTGGGCCCTGCCCTCTCAACACTAAAGATTCCAGAATGCTGGGTGTCTATGACTCTCAACACCAACATTAATGCCATGTCAGGAAGAGAACATTCCAAGCCAACATTCTCCATGTCAGGAAGAGGAAATTGCAAGTAAAATCAAGCATTGAAGTTTTTAGGCAGTGGAAAGGTGAGTGTTTTCATCCATCACTTGTGATTTGAGACTATTAGATCTGGAAATAATCTTTGCAAAAAATCAGGAAACTATTATTCCTCATTATCTTTACTTATTCAATTATTTATGAAATGCTCTTTTAAACCCTCTTCAGTGGGCCAGCCACTTTGCTAGTTACTAGAGATACAGAGGAGAATAGCTCGGGTCCATCACTGGGCTTATAGAATAACTCAGTCAAAGAAAATGTGCTGTCTGGAAATCAGAGTTTTTGGAGCTTACAGTAGGAAGATCAACTTAATTACAATAAACTGGACAATATTTACATGATGACTTCATTTTAAATGAGATTTGAAAAGTAAATATTTACCAGACATCAGAAAGACAGGTGTTGGTAAGACTATCTAATGTAAAAGAAATAGCTAATGAAAAGGCTCAGTGAATGTGACAGACTCTAGGAACTGAAAGAAGCGAAGTGTTCCTGTAGCCAAGGAGGAGGATCACAGGAACTAAAAGTGAAGAGGGACAAGAGATAGCATGAATCTGTGTACTTTATCCTAAGTGTAATTAAGGCAACCTGTTCATCAGTGTCCCTGAAAGTGAATCATCATCTGATTTCTGGTCCAGTGTATTTTATGACCAGGAATAAGTAGCTCATTCAACTTCTAAGAACTCAAATACTAGAATATTTTCCTTTACATTTATTTTTATTTTTTTTCAGTAGTAAATTATTTATATATTTTTATTATTATTATACTTTAAGTTTTAGGGTACATGTGCACACTGTGCAGGTTAGTTACATTTATTAAAAGATGTATTCATAAATCTTTCAAATGCCACACACAAAATTAAAGCTTATCCTTGCTCTTCTTAGGATACATGAAAATGCTCACTAATTATCTCATTGCCTGCAAATATTTCCCAAGCTCTTGACAGCTTTTGTGTGCCTTCCATCTTATCAATGTCTTTCTTTTAAAAATATATCCATTGGAAAACGATGGACTCCAGGTGTAATATGATAAGTGTGGAATGGTGCTTTCTAACCTCATGAGCACATAGAAGATGGTCATATTAATATGGCATAATGAAGTTACTGGATGAGAAAGCTTGTGGCTGATGGTGACCAGTGAACTGGCTCTGAATGCCACAGTCTTATCTGTGAGAACCCGAGGGCTACAGACCAATACCTCTGAACCATTATGAACCTTTCCCTACATTTCAGTTCCATGGCATATGAGTTGGAAGCTATGTTACAGATCTTACATGGATTGCTAGTCATCATAGTCTAGCCATTATTTTTTTTATAAATGAAATCTGAATCTCCCCTTGCTTTATCCATCATCCACTATTCTATGGACTTCATTTAGTTAATACAGAAGTACACTTTTATGTTTTCTTATGAATTGTATTCAAACCAGATATGTTGTACATAAAGAATTAATCATTTAAACTAAGACTGGAAGTTAAGTATTTTTCTCACTCAATTTTAGCTTGTTTTTTTTAGCTATTTTCAGTGTCTAGAACCAACCACATTTTGCTGGTTGTCATAATATTTTAGGACTGAAGTTACAGTAACTTGGGAATATTGTTAACCAAAGGGTGTGTGTAGACCATACCATGGGGAATTGTCAATTCCCAAATCCATGTATAACTCACAAAAAGAAAGTTTCACAGTTTAATTCCATAGAACTCTTCCCAGCTGTAATCCCTACTATGATGATTACAATTAAAGTAATCAAAAACGTAAATGACTAAAAAAGTAGAGAAAAATGCTTTTGATATTCATGATGTTCAGTGACCTTACCTTATTCTTTGATATTATATAATTTATAACCCTACTTAGCTGGCTTTGGTCAGACCTTTTATTGCTACTGTCATATATACCCAATTTTTAACACGCAGGAGTAAACATAATAGACCAGGAGCCCTATATTTTTTATTTGTTCTTGTATTAACAGAAGACTATATTTTGTGTACATGTAAAGTATTTTTCAGAGCCTCATATTGATCCTATAGTGATCACATGAGGACACATAAATAATAGAAAATACATTTTTAAATGTATATATAACAGAATAGCTCTGAATTCGTTCGGGAAACCATTCAAAAGTTGCATGCCTCTCTAACTTTACTTCAGTTATTGAAATAATTGACACATCATCCCTTATTATGGTGAATATTAGACTTAGTATCAAGTCTCTACAACAGTATTTCTCTTCTTCTTAACACAGTCCTGTTGGGTTGTATAAACAATCAATTCACGTATTCATTGTATTGGCTATTTCTTCCAGTTTTATTTTATCTGTACATTAAATGATCACTCATTTCCATTTTAATCTTAACTAAATTATTGAAAACATTGTTAACAGGATAGAATTAGATTGAGAGTTCTATTAAAGCAGGGAATGTGTCATTTTACTTTTCATGCATTTTGGCTTCGGGTCAGTATTCGACCCCTTGTCTCTCAGTAATGATGGCTGAATAAAAGAGCGAGCTAGAATAGGTGCAGCAAACCACCATGGCACATGTATATCTATGTAACAAACCTGCACATTCTGCACATGTATCCCAGAACTTAAAATAAAAATTAAAAAATAACAAAAGAAAGAGCTAGAGAGAGAATGAGGAAAGGATGGAGAGAGGGAGAGAGAGATGGAGAGAGAACAAGGAAAGGATGGAGAGAGGGAGAGAGAGATGGAGAGAGAACGAGGAAAGGATGGAGAGGGAGAGAGAGATGGAGAGAGAACGAGGAAAGGATGGAGAGAGGGAGAGAGAGATGGAGAGAGAATGAGGAAAGGATGGAGAGAGGGAGAGAGAGATGGAGAAGCAGGGTGGGAAGAGCTTCAGAAGAACTAGAAACAAAATGTTTACTGGAACTATTCTACAAAGACTAAGATGTCTCTAGGGAACAGGACTAAGCACATAGGGAGGTGATTCAGGAACTTTTATTTTTAATTATAATCATATTTACATTTTTACATTCATCAATTTTTATGAATACTATGATCTCCCTAGGTGACTCTGATGATTAACCATATTGGGAAATCCCTGAATTGATAAACACTGTTTGTGTTTAAATATGTCCTACATCTGGCTGTAAAGCAACAGAGCCATGTTACTCGGTCTTACTCATGAGCATGTTGTGAGAGCCTGTGCAACCTGCCTGTATAAAATAAAGATGAACTATGTCTATGGCACATCTATATTGAGCAACTGAAACATTGGCTATGACAAAAAAAGTTCCCTGATTTGAAACAAGTTACATCCTAGAAAGGAAGGCAATTACTGATCCTATGTAAGGATGTTAAGTGAAGACAGATTCAAGGAGAAAATGGTATGGAGTGTGAAGGCTAGCACATTTATGATAACCACCTTGAGTTTCTGGAGTACAATATAACATATTGAGATCCAGTATCTTAATTCTACTCCCATATCGGGCTAAATTGAATTTTTTTCATAAATCTAAAGAGATTACCAGAAGTAGCCAATGATCCCTTCAGTGCTTTGTTGGTGTCTTAACATATTGATGATCTGTTTAGATGTTCTGTTCAGGAACTGTATTATGTTGAGTCTATCCATAAGTTTGAGAGAATTAATATCTTTGCAACACTGAGTCATTAAATTATGAATAGGAAAACTTCTTAACCTTATTAAGAATTTCTTTTTTTTAAATTATTAGTATTATACTTTAAGTTTTAGGGTACATGTGCACAATGTGCAGGTTAGTTACATATGTATACATGTGCCATGCTGGTGTGCTGGACCCATTAACTCGTCATTTAGCATTAGGTATATCTCCTAATGCTATCCCTCCCCCCTCCCCCCACCCCACTACAGTCTCCAAAGTGTGATGTTCCCTTTCCTGTGTCCATGTGTTCTCATTGTTCAATTCCCACCTATGAGTGAGAATATGCGGTGTTTGGTTTTTTGTTCTTGCGATAGTTTACTAAGAATGATGATTTCCAATTTCATCCATGTCCCTACAAAGGATATGAACTCATCATTTTTTATGGCTGCATAGTATTCCATGGTGTATATGTGCCACATTTTCTTAATCCAGTCTATCATTGTTGGACATTTGGACTGGTTGCAAGTCTTTGCTATTGTGAATAGTGCCGCAATAAACATACGTGTGCATGTGTCTTTATAGCAGCATGATTTATAGTCTTTGGGTATATACCCAGTAATGGGATGGCTGGGTCAAATGGTATTTCTAGTTCTAGATCCCTGAGGAATGGCCACACTGACTTCCACAAGGGTTGAACTAGTTTACAGTCCCACCAACAGTGTAAAAGTGTTCCTATTTCTCCACATCCTCTCCAGCACCTGTTGTTTCCTGACTTTTTAATGATTGCCATTCTAACTGGTGTGAGATGGTATCTCATTGTGGTTTTGATTTGCATTTCTCTGATGGCCAGTGATGGTGAGCATTTTTTCATGTGTTTTTTGGCTGCATAAATGTCTTCTTTTGAGAAGTGTCTGTTCATGTCCTTCACCCACTGTTTGATGGGGTTGTTTGTTTTTTTCTTGTAAATTTGTTTTGAGTTCATTGTAGATTCTGGATATTAGCCCTTTGTCAGATGAGTAGGTTGCGAAAATTTTCTCCCATGTTGTAGGTTGCCTGTTCACTCTGATGGTAGTTTCTTTTGCTGTGCAGAAGCTCTTTAGTTTAATTAGATCCCATTTGTCAATTTTGTCTTTTGTTGTCATTGCTTTTGGTGTTTTAGGCATGAAGTCCTTGCCCATGCCTATGTCCTGAATGGTAATGCCTAGGTTTTCTTCTAGGGTTTTTATGGTTTTATGTCTAACATTCAAGTCTTTAATCCATCTTGAATTAATTTTTGTATAAGGTGTAAGGGAGGGATCCAGTTTCTTTAATTTCTCTCAGAAATATTTGGAAGTTTCATTCTATAAACATTGCATGTATTTTGTTAATTTTATTCCTAGGTATTTGATGCTAGCTTATTGCTATTTTACGTGATACTATTTTTAAATTTGTATTTTATTTGTAGCTTCTTAAAAATACATTTTAATGTAAAGATACCTAAAGATCAAATGGAAGAGAATGGAGAATAATGTGATTTGCAAACACTATCAGTGATGATATACTATCAGAAAAAGGAAAGTTTAGGCAAGATACATTACTAAATCGTAATTGATAAGGGGTTAAATCCAAGGATTGAACAATTAAAGGAAGAAGTATAAAAATCAGAAATTTTAGTGGGAGACATTGACATACCTCACTAAATAGCTATTGGAATAGTAAACAAGAGAAAAAAAACACTATGCACAAGAAAAATCTAAACAACATAATTAATGCATTAGATATAATTGAAATATATAGATCACATGACCCTCCAAAGACAGACAACATATTCTTTAAGATGTACTGAAATATTTACAAAAATTGACCATATGGTGTACTATAAAGTCTCAGTAATTTGCAATGATTTACATAATTCAGATTGTATTCATTGATTACAATGAAATTACAATAGATGTATTTTTGAAAGAAATAGCTAAAAAAAAAAAAAGGCCCCACATCTGTAATGATAACAATTCACTTCTGTATAATCCTTGCAACGATGAAAAAACTGAAACAAAAATTATAAAATATTTTAAACTTAATAATATCATAAATTTTGTATACCAAACCTTGCGAGATCCAGCTAAAGTGGGGTTCAGATGGAAATTTATAACTTATATGTACACATTAGAAAAGAATAAAAGTTGAATTGTTGATTCAAGCTTCCACTTCAAGAGGTTAGGGAAAAAAATAGGAAATCATACTAAAGAAATGTGTAAAGAATATAATAAAGTTTTTAGAAACAACTAAAGTAGAAATAAATATATCACTCATAAAATTAACATACCCAAAAGTTAATTTACTTTATTTGAGTAATACAATTGGAAAATTTCTAGAATGGTTGATCGAGACAAAAATGGAACCATAAATTACTGATTTTAGGAATCAGAAAAAAGAAATCGCTGCATAGTCTACAATTATGTTTAGATGTTAAAGAAACAATTACCAAAAAAGAAGAAGAATACAATATATTTGATCATTTGCAAAGTGGGCAAGCATTTTCAAATTTAAATTTAGGAAAGTTGAGAAGAAAGATAAGATCTGAATAGTAATATCTATTAAATAAATTCAATCCATTACTAAAAATTCTCACAGAGAGAAAACCGTAAGTCTAGATTGCTATACTGGTGAATACTTCCAAACATTTAAGGTATTTTGGGGCAATCTATTCCAAAAAATATGTTTTTGAGATTTGTGTTATTGCATGTATTTGTGATATGTTCCTTTTAAAATATAGAGTAATATTTTATGTGTGTGTGCATATAAGACAGAGAGAGGAAGAGAGAGAGGGAGAGAGAATTGTAGTATAGGTGTATACTACATCTCATTTATGTATTCATCTGTTGATAATGTTTTGGTTTTTTCCAGTTTGGGGCTCTTATGAATAAGGCTGTCATGAACATTTTTGTATAAATCTTCATGTAGACAAACGTTTACATTTTTCTTGGGTAAGTACTGAGGAGCAGAATTATTATATTGCACAGTGTCTGTTTAAATTTATACTAAATTGCCAACATCTTTTCCAAAGTGGTTGGACAATTTTACACCTCCCCCAAATTTTATAAGTCCAGTTACTTCACACCAACATTTGGTATTGTTGGAGTTGTTTCATTTAACCCATTCCAATACAGGTGTGCAGAGCTGTATCACTATGGTTTTAACTTTCATTTCTTTGATGACTGACATTGAGCATATTTTCATATACTTAAGGACTATTCATACATATTTTTGTAAGGAATTTGTTCGGATATTTTCCTGTTTTTAAAATTTTCTTGCCTTCATATTAATTGTAAATATTATTTCTATATTTTGAATAAAAGCCCTTTTTCAGATATATGTATTTCCATAGAATTGCCTTCTCATTTTCTTAATACTATCTTTTGAAGAACAGCTTTTAATTTTGATGACATACAAATTAAGTATTTGTATGGTTTTTTGTTTGTTTGCTTTGGGTTTTGTTTATGTGTGTCTGTGTGTGTGTGTGTATCCTTTCTAAGAAAGCTTAAATTTTAAAATCTCAAAGAATTTCTCTAGCATTTTCTTCCAGATATTTTATAGTTTAGCCTTTCTGTTTATATCTGTATTTTAGTTTTTTTATAGAAGTAAGATATACATTTTTAGGTTTTCCATATATAATATTCTTTGTAATTTAACTCTAAGCCATTTGGAATTTTACTTTGGCACATGCAATGAGTAATTTGCCTGATCATAGTTTAACAGAATAAATAACTATATTTTAAATTCCATATATTCTAAATGTATGCCTGTTTTTTGTACTTCTTCCTAATTCACAAAAGTTAAAAGAAGAGAAAAAAAATGGAGGTATTTTTATCTGTTTCTGTAATTTGAATGAGTAAAATGGCTTATTTTCCAATTGACAGGATATGAATAGGTAACAAATACAATGATGATCTTGCTTACTTTCTGATTAATAAGTCTGCCAATTTTATTAATAGGTAGGTAATATTTTTATTTATCTTTCACAGATTTGGAGTCAAGACACAAACGGGTTATTTAACTTATCCACGGGTATCATTAGTAAATGATAGAGTCAGAAAGCAAACATAGGCACTTTGAGTTTAAGGCCTGTCCATTTAACCACTACTAACACAGCTTCCCTCAAATAATGGCAGAAGTGCTTGGTCCAGAGACCATAAACCAGATAACTGTGGGCCAGTCCAGCTCGTGTTAAATTTATACAATTATTGTTATAGAGATTGTTTCATAGTAATAATATTTTAAAATATGAAAATTTTATGTATAAATCGAGATTTCTTGATAATTACATTAAAAATGGAAAAATCTGACAGTAATATCTCTGTTCACCCCTCCCAGAAATTAGTTTCAGGTAATTAAAGTTTACCATCCTTAGGCAAGGTTTGTTCTCTCCAAGTTGTCATGAGTTCAACTCATTTATATTGGCTTATATTAATATTTAAGTTAGTGAGTCTAAACTTAGAAATATTGGCTTAAAATCACTGAAATATTTAAAAGAAGAAAGGGATACTTAGAAAGTGTTCAATGATAAAAATGGCTAAAATATTTTACATGAAACACATTTATTATATTTGAAAATAAGATTAAATAAATATTATTTGAGGTAAACTTTACTTACTCAAAGGGGATACCTAAAGCATGAATATCTGGGAACCTTTTCTCAATGAAGAATAATAAAGTCCCTCCCACAACCATGGGGTTTTTTTGTTTTGTTTTTTCTCTTCCTGCAGAAACTGACTGGAGGAGATGTCAGGAGAAAATAATTCCTCAGTGACTGAGTTCATTCTGGCTGGGCTCTCAGAACAGCCAGAGCTCCAGCTGCCCCTCTTCCTCCTGTTCTTAGGAATCTATGTGGTCACAGTGGTGGGCAACCTGGGCATGACCACACTGATTTGGCTCAGTTCTCACCTGCACACCCCTATGTACTATTTCCTCAGCAGTCTGTCCTTCATTGACTTCTGCCATTCCACTGTCATTACCCCTAAGATGCTGGTGAACTTTGTGACAGAGAAGAACATCATCTCCTACCCTGAATGCATGACTCAGCTCTACTTCTTCCTCGTTTTTGCTATTGCAGAGTGTCACATGTTGGCTGCAATGGCGTATGACCGTTACATGGCCATCTGTAGCCCCTTGCTGTACAGTGTCATCATATCCAATAAGGCTTGCTTTTCTCTGATTTTAGGGGTGTATATAATAGGCCTGGTTTGTGCATCAGTTCATACAGGCTGTATGTTTAGGGTTCAATTCTGCAAATTTGATTTGATTAACCATTATTTCTGTGATCTTCTTCCCCTCCTAAAGCTCTCTTGCTCTAGTATCTATGTCAACAAACTACTTATTCTATGTGTTGGTGCATTTAACATCCTTGTCCCCAGCCTGACCATCCTTTGCTCTTACATCTTTATTATTGCCAGCATCCTCCACATTCGCTCCACTGAGGGCAGGTCCAAAGCCTTCAGCACTTGTAGCTCCCACATGTTGGCGGTTGTAATCTTTTTTGGATCTGCAGCATTCATGTACTTGCAGCCATCTTCAATCAGCTCCATGGACCAGGGGAAAGTATCCTCTGTGTTTTATACTATTATTGTGCCCATGTTGAACCCTCTGATTTATAGCCTGAGGAATAAAGATGTCCATGTTTCCCTGAAGAAAATGCTACAGAGAAGAACATTATTGTAAACAGTAATAATAAGAAGATGATATATTAATCCTAAGTAGTGGACTGTTACATTGTATGAATGGATGTCTTTCACTTTAATGCATCTGTCAATAATTTTTACCATTTGGTGAGATTATATTACCATTATTTTTTCATTTCATGACCCTTTGATGTCATTTCCCATGTGGGGTTTTAACTCATATGTATCAATGAGACACAAATTAATATAAATACTAAAATCGACATGAGTACATAGACTCATTAATGCCAGCCCCATGTTCTTACCTCTTTTCTTTTACACAATTGATAAAATTCAGCTCAGTTCTCAACCATAATGAAAATACCATCTTCCAAAAGTGATACCAATCTCCCTTATTCTGTCTTTTCAATAACAACATAAATTATTGCAATATGATAGCTGTAATTTTAGCCTGCAGCAATCTCTTTTCTGCCTTATTCATCTATTTACCTCATTTGTCTGCTGTATTTCTTCTTTAGCAACATAATCAAAATTTCAGAATATAAGTTACATATCCGTGTATGTGTTATAATTGTGCAATCCAATATATCATCTGCTTTGCATTTTCCTATTCTAGTTTGTACTTGCCTTCAACCTACACTGGACTTCAGTCTTCATGAAGATTCCCCCGTACATGTGGTTTATTGCCACGTCTCCAGCGTCTATCATAGTTCTTGCCACCTTAGGTCCTTGAAAGCTTTTTTATTATTTCCTCATTTAAGCTAAGTATAGGAAAGCCATATGTATGTCATACTTACTTTATCTATTTATCTCTCGAAGAGCTACATATGTTTTTAAATCTAATCTAATTTAATTTATATTTCAAGTTGATTAAAATTTACTTTAGAAGGTTCTTCAAGAATCTATAATATAACTGGTAACATTCTGACCTATTCTATGCTAAGATGTATGTGTATTTGTTCTGTGAAAAATCCCAATGCAGATATGATAACTTGTTAACACCTGATTTTTTAAGTCATTAAACCCTCTCAACAACCAAGGAGTCCCTAAAGCAATACTTATTTTTTCTTTCTTTTCAAACATGTGGCACAGGAAGGTTAAAAAATATGTTTGATGCCTGATGGGTAAACATAGCAAATCTGGTGATAGAGTTGGAACCTGAATAGCATGGTCTAAACTACCCTTAATTCTCTATGCCTAGAGCAGAACATAATTTTACCTGTGCTGGTAATGAGAAAATTCCTTGCTATGTAGATATTTAGTGAATTTTATGATATATAAAATATACTTCAATAAAATTGCTTTAAAATGAAAGTGAGGGTGCTACGTGATCAAATACAATAAGCTATGTTTCTATAACCAGAAGAAATATTTCACTTGTCTATATTTGGATGGGGCTGGTTAAGTTGCTTTGATCAGATTCCAGGTAATGCAGCTTACTCTGTTTATATATATTTAATCACAGGCTCCTGGATATCGAAACTATAGTTTGTCCATCCTTTTAGTTGAAGGGAGTGTAGGTGAATGAGCCATAGGTTAATAGGACTATTTCCCGGGAACTCTAAAAACATGGCATGTATAAAATTGAGCATACCAAGTAGATTTGGATCTTCTTGCCTGAGAAAATTCTCAATCAATCATGGACTCTATTAACCTGAGTCTGGGAAGATTCAACTGTTAATCTATTTCTTCCATGTGGAGCCAAGTTAAATGATTTCTTTAAGCTTATTTACTTATTACTTATTTGCTATTACTAGTGTATCTAAGTATAACTAGTGAAAAAATTGCCAGGATCCGACTTAGAAAAAAATATATTTCTAAAAGCTAAGGGGACTTAAAGTTATTTCCTCAGAAAACTCATCTCTGAAACTCAATCTGCATTACTTTTCCATATCATCCTTATGTTCTCTTTCAGAAAAACTATCTCTTTTTCTTCTTAGCTTGCATTGCTTGTGGTAATTTTATGATCATTTGAACGTCTACTCTGTACATTTCCCTTGCTTCAATGGACTATAAGCTCGAGTAGAGAATACACACTCAAATATTTATTAATGATTATACCAAACACCCTTGGTTTCTCATGCCACATTCTTTCAGACTACCTCCTGTTTCTCATTTCAGCAGACTTGAGGCACATTTATTAGCTGTGTGCAAGCTGAGAGTTAACTTGCATTGAAGGTGTTACACTTCAAATTTCCAGCAAGTGCTTTGCACTTTCACTCTGGAAACTTCTCCACAATTTCAGATGCTCATTTGGCTTATGTACAGTCAGCTCAAAGAATTCTTGCTCTTGGGGTCACCTTTACCCAGTAACAGTGAAAATTGTGTGTAATGCCACATCATCCTGTCACACAGGACAGCCATCTTGGGAAACATCATATGCACTTCTGAGGAAGTGCTGGTAAAATTGAACCACCATTGCTCATACCAGCTTTTCAATAACATACTCCAATATTAGCTTTTCCTTCTTCGCATTTTGACTCAAATTTGTAAACATTACTAAAAAATTAACAGCTTAAATGAAGATAAAACAATAATTTAAAGTCCGTTAGAAAACTATTTATGTTTGCTGAGTGCAGTGGCTCATGCCTGTAGTCCCAGCACTTTGGGGAGCTGAGGTGGGTGAATCACTTCTGTTCAGGAGTTTGAGACCAGCCTGGGCAACAAGGAGAAACCTCATTTCTGCAGAAAATACAAAAATTAGCTGGGCATGGTGGTGTGTGCCTGAAGTTCCAGCTACTTGGGAGGCTGAGGCAGGAGTATTGCTTGGGTCCAGGAAGTTGGGGCTGCAGTGAGCCTTGATTGTGCCACTGTACGTCAGCCTGGGCGACAGAGAGAGATTGTCCCCCAAACTACCACCACCACCAATGAACAAACAAACAAAAACTTTGACAACTTTTAATGGTCAAAAAATATTGTATATATTATTGTGTACAAGTTATTTTGAATGTGTGTGTGTGTGTATAGCGAAATGCCTAAATTGAGCTAGTTAACATATATATTACCTAACATATTTATTTGTGTGTGTGTGGTGAGAACACTAATCCAATAGATTTTTATTACTATAGTTACCATTTATACAATAGTTTTTAACTTATTCCTTCTATCTAATTAAAATATTATATCCTTTGACCAACATCTCCTCCCACACGCCCAGCTGCAGATAAACACAATTCTACTGTCTACCTCTGTGAGTTCAGCATTTTTAGATTCCACATGTATGTGAGATCATGTAGTATTTGTCTTTCTGTGCCTGGCTTATTTCATGTAATATAATGTCCTACAGGTTCATCTGTATTGTTGCAAATTTTTAAATCTAAATATTATTCCATTGTGCACATATACCACATTTTGTTTATCCATTCTTCCTAAGCGATGGACACCTAGGTTAATCTATATCTTGGCTATTGTGAATAATGCTACAATAAACATGGGAGTGCAGATATTTCTTTGACGTGCTGATTGTATTTTTTGAATATATACCCGATAGTGGTATTGCTAGGTCATATGGTAGTTCAATTTTTAATTTTTTGAGGAAGCTTTATGCTGTTTTCCATAATGACTGTACTAATTTACATTCCCATAAACAGCATGTAATGGTTCACTTTCCTCCACATCCTCTCCAACAGTTATCCGTTCTCTTTTTGATAGTAACTATCCTAACAAGTATGAGGTGATATCTCACTGTAGTTTCTCTGCAATTTGATGATTTGTAATTTTGAACACTTTTTCATATACCTGTTGACCATTTTTATGTCTTCTTTTGAGAAATGTCTATTTAGATGCTTTGCCTATTTTTAAATCTGTTTGTTTTCTTACCATTGAGATGTTTGCATTTCTTATATATGTAGGATATCAATCGCTTGTGAGATGTATGGTTTGCAAATATTTTCTTTCAAAGCAAATTTGATTAAGAAAATCTATTGTAAATTATTATCTCAAAATGATATAATACTAATAAATATTTTGAGTAAAAAGTTTAATAATCTTTATTTCCAAACAAGTTAATTAGTCTATATATGGAACTAAAATAACCTGTACAGTGCATGTGTTTCTTTTGTTCCTCAACATTTTTATTTTTAGAAGAAAACCTTATCATTTCTCCTTTGTGCAGTTCCCTAGGAACACCTCTTGTGTTTACACCAACATCTACCAGAAGCTTTCATTTAGCCCTCAAACTAAAATTATCCAAGCATTGGTGTTTTATGAGTACATTACGATATTTAATACAGTTAGTAGAGGTCAATGAAAATAAAAACTTCCATGTCTTACAGTGCATTCATTTTCTAGAATAGCTGTAACAAAGTATCATACTCTGGGCAGCTTTAAACAACTGAAATTTATTGTCTCATAGTTCTGGGAATTAGAAGTCAAAAAATCAAGATGTCAGCATAGGTGGTTCCTCCTGAGAGCTCTGAGGAAAATTTCATGCCTCTTCCTAATGCCCAGTTATGGCCAGCTTTTCTTGGTGGAAGTGATTTTCTTAAAGTCACACAGCAAGTATGGAGTTAAGCTGAGATTTGAACCTAGGACTGTCCAACCGAATATCAGGATATACTGGAATTTTTATATCAAGTCATGAAATATTAGAACTGGAAGAGATGTTAAAAATGATTTAACCCAATTACTCATATTGTACTGTGTACTTGAAAAATATCTGCTCAGTGGTTACATAGGCTATGCTCTAACATTTCTGGTTGTAAGTCCTGCACATTAAGGTAACTGCTTCCATTTCTGGATGTATTTGTATGCTCTTCTTTGTTGTGAAACAAAATGTGTCTTACCATAGTTTCTAGCAGTTAGTATTACAGCAATTTCTTAGACATGAAGAAAATGAATTCAACATCTCCTAAATATAGGAATATGCTGAATATTTGAAGATAGCTATCATGTGTCAAACAGAGTATTACTGTGCTAGCTAAATATCTTCAGTTCTCTCTGACAATCTTCAAATGACAAAATTTCCAGAACATTTTTCTCCTGAAATTTTCCAGTTTTTCTATACCCCACAAAATTATGGTACTCCAAACTAAACAGTAGTCCAACTATTGTTGAGTGTTAAATAAGACTAAGCAATTCCATTTTCTAGGACCATTTTTTTTTTTTTTTGCAAGTGAAGACTAAAGATATATTGAGTCTTTTTTAAAAGTCACATTATACTGTTGACCAGTATTGAATTTGACTTTCACCACCTCAACCATGAAGTACAATAGTGTAGATCAATCACAGTCCACTGCTCCCCGGCCACAATGGAGGATTACATGAATTATATTTAGGCTGTTTTATTGCTTTCCTGCAAATATTCAATTTAGCAACAAAGGAAGATAGTTCATTGGTTTTGGAGAAGCTGTTGAAATATAAGCATGAGATCTGTCAAGCAGTGATTTGATTTATTATTTTAAAATTTCTAACACTAATATGAGTAAGATATAACTTTTCAGGAAGTGTCTTGGTCCTCTAAAATCAGCTAATAATAGTCTGGGCTGTGAACAAATAGTACTGGCTTGTAGTTTCTAAGAAATGCAGAATCTCAAACCGCACTCAGACTTGCTGGATCAGAATATACCTTTTCACAAAATCCTTTATTGCCAGTAGGCACAAATCTTTATTGCTAATCGACAAGTTTAGAATTGACAAAAATTCCCCTGAAGAAAAATTAGACAATTGGGTAAATGCCAACAGTAATTGCTTCTTTTCTCAGGAGCTTGTGTTCCCAGAGAAATGGAAATCCTTGGAGAATGTTTGTCTGCATGATATTTGGTACCTGGCGTATCTAAACCCAGGTTTAGCAATCAAAACTGCTCAGGCCACTGTAAAAGGGGAGGATGTGTGCTAGAGCTAGAGAAACACAACTGAAAAGTGACAACTGGAGATGCTGATCAGCGGTGCAGATTGATTTCAAAAGTGAGTGAGATGTCTTGTGCTTTGCAGTCTCAGGACTAAAGACTACAGAACGCTGGCTTGGTACCTATGACTTCCAACAGCAGCATTAGTGCCATTCTCCAAGTCAAAGACAGCAAGTTGCAAATAAAATTTGGAACTGAGGTTTCAGGCAAAAGAAAGGTGAGTGTGTTCATCTCACACTTATGATTTGATGCTATTAGGTCTAGAAGTAATCACTGTAAAAACTGTAGGAAATATTTGTGAATACTTTCGTTCATTCATTTAATCAATCATTTATTCTTAAAAGTACTTTTTAAACTTTCAGTGATTTGCCAGATATGGGCTAATACTGGGAATACAGAAGAGAGGATGTCTGATCCACAGCCTGGCTTACAGTACAGTTCAGTCTAAAAATGTGCTGTTTAGAAATTAGAATTTTCTGAGCATGCAGTAGAAAGGTCCAATCAATTACAAGGAATTGGAGAATGGTTCTATGATTATTATAGTTTTGAATGAGATATGAAAGAAAACAAATGTTTGCCAGACAACAGAAAGTGTAATTGGTAAGACTATTTAATGTAGAAGGAACAGTAAACAAAAAGTCAGACAGCTAAGTGAATGTGACAAATTCCAGGAACTGAATGAAGCCAAATATTTCTCTCACAAAGGAGGAAGATACAAGACCTAAGAGTAGAAAGAGATGAGAGATAGTGGATATTTGTTTTTAATCATAAGATAAATTAAGAAAATCTTTTCCCTAATTTTTCTGAAGATGGATCGTCATGCTGTGGTTAAATATATTTAATGGCCAGAAATAAATAGCCTCTTCCTTTTTTAAGATCTCAAGTTATTAGAATATTTTTATATTGATTAAAGGGTGTATTCTTTTTTAATAGGAGAAAAAGGCATACAAAATTTATTTAATGTGTATATACATGGAAGTCATACACTAAGTATGAAACCCAAGAAGGACCAGGTGGTTGAGGCTTAAATACTCTCTTCATGGAAGAGAGATGTGTGGACGCAAGAGGTAGACATTATTTTGTAAATGATTATCTTTGGAAGCTGGATGAGACGGACAAGTTATGGAAGGTGAGGGGTGGAAATGCATGGGGACACAGGTTGTCTTATTATGCAGATAAAGTCCCCCAGGTAATCTCTTGGAGCTGCCTTGAGAATAGCAGATGAAAAGTCTGTCTGTGCATGGTGATGACTCCCAGTCTCTTCTCTGGTGGTTAATCTTTCCTGGTTATCTTTCCTGGATTCCAAAGAAGGGGGTCTTAAGACAACTGCATTTCTTTGGGAAAGAAGCTTAGTTAGATAAGGAAATTCCAAAGAGTCCCACCCAGTACTTTGGGGAAGAGGATCTGAGAGACAAGGAGGTGGGAGAAGGTCAGAAACAGCCCTTGGTTCTGAAGCTTATTTCCAAGGCCTTTTAAAGCACTCAGCATGCCAGAGTGCCATATTTTGGGGAATCATCTTCTGCACCCCAACATCACCTCTCTTCTCTCTTAGGAGAGTCCTTCCTTTCTAAATCTAGCTCTTGTACACGTACTCCATATCCCATTATTTTCTTCTTCTCTGAGACTTTTCCCCATTGAATTATCTCCTCTCTGGCTAGCATCTTCAACATCTAAAGGGTGTATTCTTAAGTCTGTCAAACACCATACACAAAATAAACACCTCTTCTCTTTTGTTTCTCTTTCAATGTATAAAAGTGTCTGCTAATTATTTCATTACCTTTAAATATTTTCCAAGCTCTTCACAGCTTCTATACAACTTTCATCTTGTCAATGTTCCTCCTTAAAAAAGACATTCATGGCCAGGCTCCGTGGCTCACACCTGTAATCCCAGCACTTTGGGAGGTTGAGTTGGGCGGATCGCCTGAGGTCAGGAGTTCGAGACTAGCCTGACCAACATAGCGAAACCCTGTCTCTACTAAAAAATACAAAAATTAGCTGAGCGTGGTGGCGGGCGCCTATAATCTCAGCTACTCAGGAGGCTGAGGCAGGAGAATTGCTTGAACCCAGGAGGTGAAGGTTGCAGTGAGCCGAGACCACACCACTGCACTCCAACTTGGGCAACAAGAGCGAGCGAGACTCCATCTCAAATAAATAAATAAATAATAATAATAATAAAAAAGACATTCATAATTAAACATAAAGTTCAAAATTTAATATGATAGGCATAGAATAGTACTTGCCAACCTCATAGTGCCCATAGAAGATGGTAATATTTGCATAGCATCTGGGGTAAGAAATTTACCCCAGCTTGTGGCAAATGCTGACCTCTAAGAGGCTCTGGATGCCACAGACTTCTCTTCATTGCCCCAAGGACTAAACACCAGCACTTCAGCACCATTGTAACACATTCTAAGTCCATGGCACATGAGTTGGGAAGCTATGTCGTAGATCTTATTGAGATTATGGCTCATCATACTCTAGAAATTGTTTTTTAATAAATAAGCTATGAATTTTCAATTGCTTTATCATCTATTATTCTATGGACTCCATTGGATTATTTTTTAAAATGCCTTTATGCTTTTATATAAACTACACTCAAACCAGATATCTTATATGGGAAGAATTAATTTTTAAACTAAGCTTAGAAGTTAATAAATATTTTCCCTGCTACATTTTAATTTGTTTCAACTCTGTTCTCAAACCTGGATGATCATCATCATTGATTTAGAAGTGTCATTTGTGTGTTTTTATTTTATTTTTCAGAGAGGTCAGATCTCTAAACCTCAACATCAAAGATTCTGATTCACTAAATCTGGTAGAGTGGTAGCAAATCTATATTAAACAACACAAACAGGATATTTACACATGAGTTGAAAAAAATTTGAAATTTGACAAAGATTTGAAAATATTTTCAAAGTTTCAGAAGCTACTAAAAGATATCTGAACTAGAATACAACTATCAATTATCAGAATTAGAGAGGGGGTAGCAATACTAGTTTAACTAAAATAAAACCACATGCAGTTTGGAAGTTTTTAATGCTCAAAGTTATTAATTCTACAAATAGCAATATGAACAAATTAGAACTATAGCAGTAAACTTCAGAAGAACTAGAAGCAGACACTGTTGGAACTATTCTACAGAGATTAGTGTCTGGGGAACAGGATAGAGTATATAGGGAGGTGATTCTGGAACGTTTGTTTTTCATTATAATCATGTTTACATTTTTACATTAATCCTTTTTTGTAAACACTTCAATCTCCCTAGATGACTGTGATGATCAATCATATTGGGAAATACCTGAATCAACAAACACTCTTTGTGTTCAAATATTTTCTTCTACATCTGACTGTAAAGCAACAAGCCTCCCATAACTCTATCTTATCCAGCATATATTCTGAAAGCCTGTGCCACCTGCCTGTATAAATTGAAGATGAACTGTGTCTATAGCACATTCACACCAAGCAATTGAAATATTAGTGTTAATATAAAATTATCTGATTGAGACGAGCTGTATTCTAGAAAGCAAGGCATTTACTGATCTTATATACAGATGTTGAGAAAGGGATATAGAGAATAATGGCTATAATATCCATCTTGAGTTTTTAGAGTACAATAATTGTTAACTTTTGAGAATCAATATCTTGACTCCCCTTTGATATTGCACTGAGATGATATTTTCCATAAATCCTCAGACATAAACAGCAGTATCTAAATATTCTCTTCAGGAATTTGTTGATATATTTTTCATAGTCATGCATTTTTTTTGTCTTTAAATAATTTTTTAAAATTTCAGTATACACCATAGAATACCACTGAGCCATAAAAAGGAACAAAATAATGACTTTTGCAGCCGCTTGGATGAAGCTGGAGGTCATTATTCTAAGTGAAGTAGTTCATGAATGGAAACCCAAATGTAATGTGTTCTCATTTATAAGTGGCAGCTAAGCTATGTGTGGAGGAAGAGGATCAGAAAAAAATAACTAATAGGTACAATGCTTAATACCTGGGTGAGTAAATAATTTGTACAACAAACCCCCATGACACAAGTTTACCTATATGACAAACCTAAACATGTACCCTGAACTTAAAAGTTAAAAAAAGAATTACATATTGATATATTTTTTAAACATATCGATCATCTGTTTAGATGTTATATCCAGCAATTGAATTATGTTAAATCTATACATAAGTTTGAGAGACTTAATATCTTTATAATAGTGAGTCTTATTATCCACAGATATGGTAAATCTCTTCTCTTATTAGGGTTTTTAAAAAATTAGTTGATACATAATTGTACATATTTGTGAGGTACCTGTGGTATTTTGATAGATGCATACAATGTGTAATGATCAAATCAGGGTATTTAGGATACTCATCACCTCAAACATTTATCATTTGTTTGTGTTGGAAACATTTTAAACCTTCTACCTATTTAAAAATACACTACATGTTGTTGTTAACTATAATCACCCTACTGTGTTACTGAACATTAGGAACTATTCCTTCTATCTAACTGTATGTCACGTACCCATTAATCCATATCTCTTCATACTTCCACACCCAGTCAGTCTTTCCAGCCACCAGTGACTGTCATTCTACTCTATCTCCATGAGATCAGCTTTTTTAGCTTCCACGTATGAGTAAGAATATAAAATATTTGTCTTTCTGTGCCTGGCTTATTTCACTTAACCATCAAATTACAGGATTTCGTTCGTTTTTTGGCTTAATAGTATTCCATTGTGTATGTGTACCACATTTCCTTTATCCATCCATCCATCCACTGATGGAGACTTAAGTTTGTCTAATTTAAGATTACTTAAAAGTTTTAACCTATAGTCATTGTATATGTTTTGCTTTATATTTTGAGGTATTTGGTGCTAATTTGTTGCTATTTCACATGATATTCTTTTTGTGCTTCTTTCAAAAATAAATTTTAATATAAGGAAACAGAAAATCTAATGAAAGGGAGTGAAAAATAGTATGCTGTGCAAACATTAACCAAAAAAATATTGTGATAGCCTAACAATGCTAAAAATGCTAACAAGAGACGAAGGAAGATTTAAGCAAGACACATTACTAAATATAAAGTTCTGCATTCCATAGCAATAAAGATTTTGGTAAAGATTCAACTACTAAAGGAAGAAATTTAAAAATCAGAAATTTTAGTGAGAGACATGGACATACTTAGCTACTAACCGTTAGAACATCAGACAAAAATATCACTGTGCATATTAAATGCCTCAACAACATAATTAGTGAAGTGAACATCATTGAAATGTGTGTATTAAGGGACCTCAATATCAGGCAATGTATCCTTTTAAGATGCATTTGGAATATTTATGAAAACTGATGATATGTTGTATTATAAAGAAAATCTCAGCAATTTGAAATAACTTCAATGATTCAGAGTATGTTTGTTAGCTACAATGAAATTAAGACAGACATTTTAAAAAGCCTGACTTCTGTAAAGTTAACAGTTTACTTTCTATAATCCACGGAACAACACAAATATAAAAAAGAAATTATAAAGTGTCTTAAACTGTATAATATCATAACTTTGATATATCAAAACTTGTGACAAGTAGCTAAAGTAGGGCTGAGAGGGAAATTTATACCTTATATGCACATATTACAAAAGACTATAAATGGAAGATGTTGATTAAGGTTCAGTTCAAAAATCTAGGAAAAGGACAGGAAATCATGCTAAAGAAATGAATAAAAATAAAATAAATTATTAGAAATAATTTAAATAAAAATAAATGTTAAAATCAACAGAGTAAAAAGTTAGCTTATTTAAATTGATTAATAAAATTGACAGACTTCTAGCATGAATGATCAAGACAAAAAGACAACCTTAATTTATTGGATTCAGGAATGAAGAAGCAAAAAATTTTGCATAGCCTACAAATATTTTTTAAATGTTAATTATTATGAAAAACATAATGTAAAATGTTTCATAATTTGTAAAGTAAGCAACTGAATTGAAAATTCAATTTAAGAAAACTAAAAAGAAAGATAAAATCTGAATATATGATATCTATTAAATAAATTCATTCCATTACTGAAATTTCTTACACACAAAATCCTGTAGGTCTAGAGAGCTACACTGGTGAATACTTCTATACATTTGGGGTTTCTGGTGGAAAATCTATTGCAAAGAAACATAATGTTTTTGAGATCCATGTTAAACGTATTTGTGATTTATATTTACTTTTTAAATTCTCAATAGTATTCAGTTTTATATATATGTACATATACACACACACACACATACACACACACCACAACTCATGCATCTACTCATCTGTTGATGAACATTTGAGGTTGTTTCTAACTTATGGTTGTTTTGAATAAGGCTGCCATGTACATTTTTGTACATATCTTTATGTAGACAAATGTTTACATTTTTCTTGGGTAAATACTAAGAGGCAGAATTCTGGATTTATTTAATGTCTGTTTAAGTTTATAAGAAATTGGCAAACTCTTTTCCAAAACAGTTGAACAATTTCACACTCCCTGCCAGCTTTGTATGACAAGTAGAGATGCTCCTGACACTTGATATATTCAGGTGTTTTTGTTTTGTTTTGTTTTTTCTATTCTATCATGGTTTGTAGTGTCTCATTATGGTGTTAATTTTCATTTCCTTGATTACTAAAAACATTGGATATATTTTCATAAACTTACTGACCAGTCATATATCTTTTCTGTGAGATAGCTCTTCTGATATTTCACTAGTAGTTAATATTTGGTTGTCTGTGTACTATTATTTGCATATGTTATTTACGTATTTTAGATAAAAGTCCTCTGTCAGGCATATGTGTTACCTTGAGCTTGCCATTTCATTTTCTTAATGTCATTAATTTTGTTTTCATTTTGATGAAATATAATCGAAACATTGTTAGTTTTTGGTTCTTTTGCTTTTTAAAAAATATTTTATTTTTTATTATACTTTAAGCTTTAGGGTACGTGTGCACAATGTGCAGGTTTGTTACATATGTGTACATGTGCCATGTTGGTGTGCTGCACCCATTAACTTGTCATTTAACATTAGGTATATCTCCTAATGCTATCCCTCCCCCCTCCCCCCACCCCACAACAGGCCCTGGTGTGTGATGTTCCCCTTCCTGTGTCCATGTGTTCTCATTGTTCAGTTCCCACCTATGAGTGAGAACATGCAGTGTTTGGTTTTTTGTCCTTGCGATAGTTTGCTGAGAATGATGGTTTCCAGCTTAATCCATGTTCTTTCTAAGAAATCATAAACTTTTCCAAGATATCAAGGATTTTATCAGTTGTTTTTCCAGAAGTTTTATAGTTAGTTTTATGCTCAGGTCTGATTTATTTCAGATTTATTTTGGTGTAGAAATGTGTTAAGAAATGTATAGATTTTCTAAATTTTGTATTTTTTTAAATAATTTGACTCATTCATTTGAAATGTAACTTTAGTGAATGGAATAGCTACATCATCTATTCACTGTTTAACAGAAAGGGGATCACACTTGTAATTCTGTTTTTTAATTGTGTGTCTCTACTTTTTACTCCCTTCTAATTCACAAAAGTTGAAGAAAATCAAAGGAAATACTGAGGTAGTAAGATTGCTGTTTCTGTACATTGAAATCAGTAATTTCTTACTATCTTCCCATTTTTACACGCTTAATAGACATTAACAACATAAGATTGACCTTCTTCACTTACTGATTTATGAGTCTGAAAATGTTATTATTAATAGGTTAATAATGTTCTCTTTTACAGATTTGAAAGTCATGACACAAAGAGGCTATTTTACATGCTCAAGGGTATTGGCTAGTAAATGACGGGGTCAGAATTTGAATACAAGCACTTTGACTTTAGAGCCTGTCCATTCAACAACTACTCATTCTGTTTCCCTCAAGGGATGTCAGAGATACTTCCCTGTAGCTCAGAGATGACAAACTGTATAATTATGGCCACTGCAGCAGATAGATATTCACAATGATCATTGTAAATGTTGTTTCATTTTAATAATGTCTGAAAATATGAATGTTTGATGTACAAATCTGGATTTCTTGATAATTACATAAAACATTGAAGTCTGACAATAATAAGATTTCTGTTCATCCCTGACAGAAATTAGTTTCAGGTTATTAGAGGTTACTGTCTGTAGACAGGGATTGTTCTCCCCAAGTTGTCACTCAGCCATTTTTACTTATTTACACTGGCTTCTCTAAGAATTTAAGTTTGCAAGTATTAGCTTAAAAATACTGACTTGAAGATCATTGAAATATTCAAAATACAAAATAGACACTCAAAGTTTTTAATTATTATAAACATAGGTAAAATATTATCATATAGAATACCAGTTACTAGAAAATAAAGATTACTACATGCTAAATTGGGATAAATTATGATTCAGTTAATTGAACCGGAGTTAAATGATCATATATAAACAAGGGATCACTTTCCTACAAAAGGAGAATAACAATACAATTCACCTAAATACCATGTTTTTTCTCTCCCCTGCAGAAACTCATCAAAGAATGGCAGCAGAAAACCATTCTTTTGTGACTAAGTTTATTCTGGTTGGGCTAACAGAGAAGTCAGAGCTACAGCTGCCCCTCTTCCTCGTCTTCCTGGGAATCTATGTAGTCACAGTGCTGGGGAACCTGGGCATGATCACACTGATTGGGCTCAGTTCTCACCTGCACACACCTATGTACTGTTTCCTCAGCAGTCTGTCCTTCATTGACTTCTGCCATTCCACTGTCATTACCCCTAAGATGCTGGTGAACTTTGTGACAGAGAAGAACATCATCTCCTACCCTGAATGCATGACTCAGCTCTACTTCTTCCTCGTTTTTGCTATTGCAGAGTGTCACATGTTGGCTGCAATGGCATATGACGGCTACGTGGCCATCTGTAGCCCCTTGCTGTACAGCATCATCATATCCAATAAGGCTTGCTTTTCTCTGATTTTAGTGGTGTATGTAATAGGCCTGATTTGTGCGTCAGCTCATATAGGCTGTATGTTTAGGGTTCAATTCTGCAAATTTGATGTGATCAACCATTATTTCTGTGATCTTATTTCTATCTTGAAGCTCTCCTGTTCTAGTACTTACATTAATGAGTTACTGATTTTAATCTTTAGTGGAATTAACATCCTTGTCCCCAGCCTGACCATCCTCAGCTCTTACATCTTCATCATTGCCAGCATCCTCCGCATTCGCTACACTGAGGGCAGGTCCAAAGCCTTCAGCACTTGCAGCTCCCACATCTCGGCTGTTTCTGTTTTCTTTGGGTCTGCAGCATTCATGTACCTGCAGCCATCATCTGTCAGCTCCATGGACCAGGGGAAAGTGTCCTCTGTGTTTTATACTATTGTTGTGCCCATGCTGAACCCCCTGATCTACAGCCTGAGGAATAAAGATGTCCACGTTGCCCTGAAGAAAACGCTAGGGAAAAGAACATTCTTATGAACAGAAGTACAATGAAAAAGATTGCATTAGATCTAAGTTTTTGGCTATGATATTGTATGAAATGATGTCTTTCACTTTAGTGCATCTGTCAACATTCTTTCTAATTTGGGGGGATTTTACTGACGTTATGTCTTATGCACATGGTCTATTTCATGCCATTTCCCTCTCATTTTTTCTCTCATAAGGATTACGAAGACATGATATTTTCTTAGAAGAAATAATAAGATTGACATAGTGAAATAGTGGCATAACCTGATAATGCCAGTTACATTCCCTTCCCCCTTTTCTTTCATGTAATTGATTAAAACATACTCCTCAACATAATAAAAACACTATCTTCTGGTGATAAAATACTATCATGCGGTGATGACTAGCAATCTGTTTTTTTTCTATCCACTCAAAAACAGCATAAGCCATAGCAATGGTAGGCCTGTAATCTTTAGTGTTTGCACATGTTTAGCCTAGAAAAGCCTATTACACATTATCCCATCCCATATATGTTTCTTTGAGGTTATTTCCTCTCTCTCCTGCTTAAAGGCAAAATCTAATCAGAACTTTAAAATCTGAATCACAGATCCATGTACATGCAGTTAATTGTTCCCAATCTAGTATACCCTTGCTATGCCATCTATTATTCTAGTTGTTAATTGCCTACTCGTTTTTAAATCCTGTACTGGACAGTAACCTCCATGAAAGAAATCCCTTGGACATATGGTTCACTGCTACATCTCCAATTCATAGTTGAGTGCCTGCTACATATTAGGCCTTTGAATTTTTCTTTCTTTTTTTTTTTTTGAGATGGAGTCTCGCTTTCTCACTAGGTTGGAGTGCAGTGGCACAATCTTAGCTCACTGCAACCTCTGCCTTCCGGGTTCAAGCAATTCTCCTGCCTCAGCCTCCCAAGTAGCTGGGACTACAGGAGCACACCACCACGCCCAGCTAATTTTTGTATTTTTAGTAGAGATGGGGTTTCACCATGTTGGCCAGGCTGGTCTCGATCTCTTGACCTCGCGGTCTGCCCGCCTTAGCCTCCCCAAGTGCTGGGATTACAGGCGTGAGCCACCACACCCGACCAATAAATTTTTAATATTTATTTCCTCCCTATAAGATATTTATATGAAAACAAGTACATATCCAACACAGTTGTCACTCATTAACCACTTCAAGTACTACATACAGCATTTGTTTGTTTGTTTTTTGTTCAAATTGGTTATGTTTAAGTTTGAAGAATTCTTTAAGGATCTGTAAGATACCTGGTAACATCTTTAGCTGTTTCTATACAAGGAGTTTGAACTATTAGCCTTGACTTCCTTATGTGGTAAATCGCACACACATATGATAACTTGCATGTACCTGATTTTGTAAGTCTTTAAATCCTGTTGACAACCAAGGAGTCCCTGAAACAAATCTAATTTATTCTTAAATTTAAGTAGGCAGCATAAGAAACTCAAGTATTTTAAAACAGATTTGAAATCTAATACAACAACATGACAAATTACGTGGTAGAGTGATGTCTGGGGCCCAAACAACACAGTCTAGACCATCATTCCCAGGACAGAAAATAACTTCACCCATGCTGGCGTAGGGGGAATTATTCTGCTGTTTAGACTTACAGAGAAATGGCATTAAATATTTAAGCATAGAAGTCTTGGTTACTGTTTCCAGTTGATCAATTTTATTCACCCTTTGTTTTTCTTTGTTTTTCATTTTCTTCTTTTTTTTTTTTTTTTGTTTTGGTTGTTTCTCTGCTTGACGGTCAGCTCATGTAGGCTGCTTTATGCATAAAATTATTTATAGCCCTCTGCTTATACAGTTTGTAATTCATCTAAGCCTTTAGCTGGAGGGAAGGTAGGAGAGTAAGCTACAGCTGTAAAGGGCTGTTTCCTGGAAAATCTAAAAACACATTACACTAATCATATCAAATAGAGCTGGTCAGGGTCTCCGTCAGTCATGGACTCTATTGTTTTGAGCCAACACAAATGCTAGCGTGAATGTATTTCTTCCACTTATGGCTGATTTCTCTAAGCCAAACCAAACTATTGGCTTATTTGGTATTGCCTGTGTACCTCAGGGTAATCAACACAACATAAACGTATGCCAGAATCAGACCTACAAAAATATACTTGTAAAGGCTAGAAATGTCATTTCTTCAGAGAACTCATCTTTGAAACTGCAGCTAAATTATACACTATCCCTCTCTTCTTGCTCTCAGATACTGGCTACTTTTCTTCTCAGCACGTATGGCTTATGATAATAATATGATACTTAAATGCTTATTCTTTTAATCTTTCTCTGTTGAGTTGACTTAAGCTCTAATAAGACATAGACACTCAAATAACATTGATTGAAAATAGTACCAGACACCTCAGACATCCCATGTCAGATCCTCTGCCTACCTCTCATTTCCGTCTCGTACACATCTGTTAGTTCTGTGCAAGCTCAAACTCAACTTGCATTAACAGAATTCCACTTTAAATATCCACGATGAAACTTTTTTCATATTTTAAAATTAATGTTATTTTTAGGACAGTTTTAAATTTATCAAAAACTTTTTATGATAATACAGAGTTCCCTTGCCCTGTATAATTTTCCTATTACTAACATCATATATTAATATGCTACACTAGTTACAATGAATGAGTCATTGAAACATTATTAAATAGCATCTATATTCTTTTGTTTACTTGTTTAATTGGAACAAATATATTATTTGTGGTGTACAACACTGATGCTTTGATATATGCATACATCGTGGAATGACTAAATCAAGCTAATTAACATATCCATTGCCTCACAAATTTATTATTTTTTTGTGGTGAGAACATTTAAAATCTACTCTCTTAGCAATTTTCAAGTATACGATATACTGTTATTAGATATACTTGCCTTGTTGTACAATAAGTCTACTGAACTTATTCCTCCTAACTGAAATTTTTTATCTTTTGACCAACATCTCCCCAGTTGCCATCCCCTCCCGCAAACCCTGGTAACCACCATTTTACGTGCTGCTTTGATCTACTTTTTAGATTCCACACATAAGTGAGATCATGCAGTGTTTGTTTTTCTGTGCTTGGCTTATTTCATTTAACAAAATATTCTCCAGATTCATCCATGTTTTAGCAGATGACAAGATTTTTTTTTAAGTCTGAGTAGTATTCCATTATGAATATACACCTCATTTTCTTTATCCATTAATGTGTTGATGGACACATATTGATTACATAACTTGGCTACTGTGAGTAATGCTACAATAAACATGGGAGTACAGATATCTCATCAACATACTGATTTCATTTCCTTGGGATATATAACCAGTAGTGGGATTGTTGGATCACATGGAAGTTCTATTTTTTAATTTTTGAGGAAACCATACTGTTTTAAATAATAGCTGTGTGAATTTGTATTCCCGCCACCAGTGTGCAAGGGCTTTCTGTTCACATCCTAGCCAACCCATGTTATATCTTGTCTTCTTGATAATACCTATCCTAATAGCTATGAGGTGATACCTCATTGTGGTTTTAATTTGTGTTTCTCTGATGAATAGTGATGTCAACTATCTTCATTTACCTGTTGGCCATTTGTAGGTCTTCTTTGGAAAAATGTCTATTTGGGCCTATTTTTAGGTTGGTTTATTTTTTTCTTGCTATTGAGTTGACTTTTTAATATACTTGGATATCAATCCCTTATCAGATGTATGGCTGCAAATATTTTCTTTTATGCCATAGGTTATCTCTTCACACTGTTAATTATTTCCTTTTCTGCACATAAGCTTCTTAGTTTGATGTACCCTCATCTATCTATTTTTGCTTTTCTTTCCTGTGCTTTTGGAGTTCAATCTAAAAGGTCTTTGCTCAAACCAATATCAAGAAGATTTCCCTAATGTTTTTCTCTAGTAATTTTATATTTTCAAATCTTATACTTTATGTTTTTAATCCATTTTGAGTTCTTTACTTTTGTACATAGTGTGAAATGAGGCCAATTTTTATTCTTTTGCTTGTGGATATCCAGTTTTTCCAACAGATTTTTGAAGTTTCTGTCCTTCCAATATTGTGTGTTCTTGACACCTTTGTCAAAAATCATTTAACCACAAATGAGTGGATTTATGAAGTTTCATTTTCACCATATTATATCAAAGGTACATACTATCAACTTTAAACACACTTATTACTGTTGATGCCAACCTTGATTTTGTGGTTGAGGTAGTGTTGGTCTGGTTTCTTCACTAAAAAGTTACACTTTTTTTCATATTTTCTGTACTCTCTGGAAGAAATTCAGTATGCATGGCTTACACTTAAAGAGTGGATGGTTATGTTTCACTTTATTTAGGGTGAAGTATCTTCATAAATTATTCAGAATTCTTCTTTGTGAGATTTTTCTCTTTTCTCATTTATTTATTTGTCCAATCATGTATTTATGTTACCAGTGTGGACTCATGGATATTACTATATATATTGGGTTATAATTCAATAATACTTTATTTGCTGCTCAAATTGTTCTAACATTGTCATCGGAGTTCCTTTAGTTGATTCCTGAATCCCTTTGACAAACTTGCATCAATCATCAACGTAGTGTTTTTTGTTTGCTTTATGATACCTCCCCTACTTCTAGCACCGTAGTATGCCCCAGGTTTATCTTGCATACTTCCTGCCTAGTTTTCGAATCACTTATTTCTCCTATTGCTAACAATAATGAAAGGAAAGTCTTGTTAGCAATAGAATAAAATATAGGCTCCTATCGCACCTCATTCACAAAATTACCAAATATGTCTAGGTCTACTTTTGCACTCTCTATTGTTCTGTTTTTTTTCTCTACAATCACCTATAACACACAACCTAATCTGTGGGAAAGGGAGTTTCTGGAATGCCAGATGAGTTGGTCTCCCCTGTGTGAGACACCCATGGGGAGCCACGGGCAGACTATGAGGAGAAAAGTCTCCTTATTGCCCTAATGTCTTTATGCCCCAAGAGCATAACAGCTCTGTGGCATGCCACAGGTTGTTCGGGGAATTAACACTCTCTTGAAGCAGTGGAGTATAATCAAACATCTTGGCTCCTCCTGAAACCTGCTCCCACCCATTTCAGTCCCTAGAAGTTAAAGATCTTAAGTAGTTTAGACATATGCCTTTGCTCAAGGAAATTCACAGAAACCGCCACTGCTATGCATCTTATTGAATGACTCAGGAGTTCTCCTTCACTGATTAATCCTTTTCCTCATCCCTTCCTCCCCCTTCCATCTGCCCTAAGAACAAAGAGCTTGTAAACCAATAAATTGGGTGGAGGCCGAGAGCTCAGGGCCGTGAGCAAGCCTCGGAAGCTATGGTCCCCTGGACCCGCCTTTTAAATTATTATTCTGTCTCTTTCTAATTCCTCTGTCTCCGCTGGACTCGGGGTACCTGCCAGGTGGTGTGGTGTGTCAACACTAATCTGTGTCATAGTATTTCTCAAAACATTTTAGTTTATATCATATACCTTTGTTCTTTGTCAAGATAGCTTTAGATATTCTAAGGCAATCAAAATTCCATATGATGTCTAAATTTGACAGACTTGCAAGAAAAAGTAGACAAATCCACAAGTATTTTTGGAGATACTTATGCCACTCTCTCAATCACTGATAGAATAAGTAGACAGAAACATTTTAAGAAAGCATTTCAAAAAGCATGATTTATAAAAAAATCAAATTGATACTGTAGATTTTATCAAAATTAAAAAGTTTTGCTCCTCCTAAGACATTGTTAAGAGATTAAAAACATAAATCTCAGAAAATATTTGCAGATCAGGCATTGACTAAAGTCTTGTATTCAGAATATGCAAAAATTCTCAAAACTCAATAATAAGAAAACCCATAAAATGAACAAATATTCGAATTCATCACCGTTGTTATAATGATGGCAAATAAACACATGTTAAGATACCACAGTACACCTATTAATTAGAATGACCGACATTAAAAGTATAAGCTGAGACTGTGCATTGACTGGAACTATCACAATCTGGTAGTATGAATCTAAAATGATACAGCCACTTAAAAAAACAATTTTCCAGTTACTAAAAAATTAAACATATATCCACTATATTACTCACCCTTTCCATATTAAGTAGTTACTCAGGAGAAATTAAACATATGTTTATACAAACACTTGTACATTAATATTCACATTAGCTTTATTTGTCATAGTCCAATACTGGAAATGACGCAAGTATTCCTTAATTGAAAATGCTTTGTGGTTTATTCATCCAAATCCATACCACTCAGTAGTAAAAACATTGAACAATTGATACACACGGCAACATGGATAAATCTCAAAATAATCATGCTAAGCAGAAGGAGCCAAATCTGCACCCCACCCCCCAGAAAAAAGTACGTCTATATAATTTCATCTTTGTAAAATTCTAGCAAATGCAAATTAATCTATATTGACAGAAAGCAGATGATTCTTTGTGTGAGGACAGGAGTAGGGCATTACAAAGGGGCAGGAAGAAAACATCTGTGGATAGCAGGTATGTTCCTTAGCTTGGTGGTGATAATTTTACATATATTACATACATACATACATACATATATACACACATATGTAAGTGGTGATGTTTTTATATTGTATATATGTATATAAATTTGTATATATATGTGTGTAGCAAGATAGATAACACCAAGTTGTGTATTTTAAATATGTAAATATTGAAGTAAATTCACAGGAGTTGACCAAAAACATTCCAATCTAATTCTAGTCTGAAAATTTTCAAAAAGGTCAAACTTTTTAATCTTATAAATACTTAAGATTTTCTTCCACAACAGAACGGATCATAAGGCCTAATTATTTAGTTCATTCTTATAGTACATCCGCATTAACTGACGCTTACTGAGTGGAAGACACGGCTTCATGACACTCCTGAGAGGAAGACCTAAGAACAGACAGTGCAAATCAGGAAGCGCAGCCTAGAAGCTTACTCATGGTCACTCTATCATAGGTGCTAATCTCAGTTCTTCCCAATATATTAGATTAGAGGAGTGGAGAAAACTGGGTAGTTCAAAGCCCTCCTTACAGGTGCACGTCTGAATTCTGCCTTTACAAATTAATGTGTCTGCAGACTCTAAAAATATCCTTACAAATGCAGATTATTCTAGAAATTAAAGAAATGAGATAATTGCCTAAGAAAAAGAAGTCTCTGCTCACATTGTAGGGAAGGGGGTACCAGGAAGGCAGGGGAGAAGATAAATTTTCCTCCATTTCAATTTCAAAGACCCACCCAATGTGTTCAAACCATTTATGAAAGAAGCCATCTTCTTGAAGTCAGTTTACTGGCTACCTGTGTTGTGTCAAGCATAATTGTTGTTGTTAATTTTACAAAGACATTTTAGCCGTGATCTTTGAGATGTATGAGTTCACCAACCAATGGAAGAACCAGGCATAATAACCCATAATAAAATGTGATAATAATAATAGCATGTCTATGTACCAGACATTAATGGAATCACACATATTTATTAACTCATTTAAACCTCATAACTATACTATATAGTAGATATGTCTATTATCTGCATTTTACAAATGAGGAAACTGAGGCATGGAGAAGTTAAATAACTTCTCAAATGTTACAAAGATAGGAAAAGACAAAGCCAGGCTTAGAACCCAGGCAATCTGACTTCAGCAAACGTTCCTTTAATTATTTCACCCTACAGTCTACTGCAATTAGCTTAGCACACATGTGATAAGAGCACAAAGCCATGAGTTATGAATTCTGTTTATGGGGCTCTAAGAAGGCTTTGCAGGGAAGGTTACATGAGAGTCAGATTTTTAATGATGAACAAAATTTGTCATGGAAAAAAAGAAATGAAAGAATGAAGGAATATAAAGCAAATGGGTGATATGAAGCACTTCAAAAAGAAGTGGACAATTTGACATAGTCACGAGTAAAAGGGAGAAAGAAGGGACTGACATTTTGCTAACATAATTGTTAATCATGGCATGGGTTCATGTAATGTCAAAGAGCTTGATTTGAGTTAGAAAACCGACAAGTGGCAGCAAGAATCAATTCAATAATGAATGCACAACAGGGGTGCTTAAATGCTTTTGTTTAATATTTAAATCATTTGGTTTTCTTATCAGGCTATTTGTCTTTCTAGCGACTGTCATCAGCATCATATAGGTCCCATTGGTACAAGTATCTCAAAATCAGCAACTGATTATTATGCACAATCAATTGCTAGTTATCTTGGGCCTCTAATTGCAGCTGTTTTCCTGCTTGCCATCTTCTGTGAAAGAGTCAGTGAACAGGGAGCATTCTGGTTGGACTTGTAATGGGCCTTACGGATATGATTGCAGAGTTCACCTTTGGAACAGGGAGTTGCTTATCTTCCAGTGACTGTCCCAAGATTATCTGTTAAGAGCACTGTCTGTACTTTTCCATCATTCCTTTTTTTTTTTCTCTCTTTTTGGTGGTGGGTGGGGGGCAGTCTATACTGGCAGTCTTAGGAATCTCCCTCTTAACAAAACCTATTCCTAATGTACGTATTATCCTGAGCAATCTCATGGATATCTCAAGAAAGCTTATGACTTATTCTGTGGTTTGCGGAAGACAGGGCTCAAGCTGCCCAAGGAGGAGGAAGCCCCGAGAAAGAAGCTGTCATCTGAGAGGCCCTTGTGGAGGACTGCAGTAAACATCAATGTCATCCTCCTCCTGGTGGTGGTGGTCTTTGTTTATGGCTATTTTGCCTGAACTCTGAGCCACTAAAATACTTGATAATTATTAATAAGTAAACCAAGGATAATTTTATGAATTTTCTTATAGCTTCTTGTGTTGCAGAAGGGAGATGAGCAGTTGGTAATTTTGTCTAAGGAAATGACTAAAGACTTGATATTTTGCTTTAATTGTTTCTTTGTATCATTAAGAAAAAGTTGGGCCGGGCGCGGTGGCTCATGCCTGTAATCCCATCACTCTGGGAGGCTGAGGCAAGCAGATCACCTGAGGTCAGGAGTTTGAGACCAGCCTGACCAACATGGTGAAACCCCGTCTCTACTAAAAATACAAAAATTTAGCCGGACATGGTGGCGGGTGCCTGTAATCCCAGCTAGTCGGGAGGCTGAGACAGGAGAATCGCTTGAACCCAGGAGGCAGAGGTTGCAGTGAGCCAAGATCACGCCATTGCACTCCAGCCTGGGTGCAACAGGGCGAGACTCTGTTTCAAAAAAAAAAAAGAAAAAGACAAAAAAGAAAAAGTTGACAATTTATAAAACTATTAAGTGACCCTATAATGTGTGTAAACCAGAAACATAGGGTCTAAATTATTGTTTCCAGCTTTATTTTGGTATAATTAAAAAATAAAAATTGTATGTATTTAAGATGTAAAAAAAAAAAAGGAAGGAAGGATCGGTGGAAGGAACACTAGACAAGCGACTTAAATTTCATGACCAAAGAACACTATGGAAAGTTAAGGAGTCTTAACTGTAGCATATAGGCTGTGGATGATGGGGATGAATTCAAGGTGTTAAAGCAGAGAAATGTCAGGTGAGATTAGTTTGCACTGAAAATACCTGTCAGGCCAAAGATTACATTGTACATTGCGTTAGCAAAATAGAGACAGCTCTACTCTTGTACACTACTTCATATTTCATATCCACTGGGATTTGTATTTGGGCCCGGATCAGTCATCCTCAGAGGCCTCCTCTGCTCTGCAATTTACCTCCTGGATCCTTTTCCTTCTCTTTTCTGATCTCATGCAGCAATCATGTAATGAAGCTATGGAAAAATCATAAGATTTCTGGTTTCTTTGTTATTCTTTTTTTTTTTGTAGAGGTGGCAGGGGGATGAAGTTTCACTCCGTCACCCAGGCCGAAGTGCAGTGGCATGATCTTGGCGCACTGCAAACTCTGCGTCCCAGGTTCAAGCGGTTCTCCTGCCTCAGGCTCCCAGGTAGCTGGGATTACAGGCATGTGCCACCACGCCAGGCTAATTTTGCATTTTTAGTAGAGATGGGGTTTCACCATGTTGGCCAGGCTGGTCTTGAACTCCTGACCTCAGTTGATCCTCCCACCTCGGCCTCCCAAAGTGCTAGGATTATAGGTGTGAGCCACTGTGCCCGGCCTGTTTCTTTGTTATCTTTCCAATATATCACTGTGTTTTCCCTCAGTCAGAATTATCTTCTATTTTGTTATATATTACCATGTTGGCCGATGCACCTCTAGAGTTCCTTAATTTTCTAAGGTTAAACTGTTGCACATGTCCTTGTGCATGTTAATCTATGTGAAAGTCAGAAAGAGAAAAAGGTAAAGAGGTAAGCTTCAGGAGAAACAAAGAACCTCCTTTACAAAAGGATTTCTAGTCTGAGTGAATGGTAGGCCCCAAACAACTGTAACCTGTAAGAACAGATTAAGTGATATTTTATCTTAATGAATGGGAAACTTCATGGTTAGCAGGATGTGAGTAACACTCATGCACATAAACCGCAGGACCACTGGACTCATGATAAGTAGAACACTGAGAACCTCAATGTCATCTGTTTACAGACCCAAGTGATCATTATCACTGACCTCCTTTCAACCATCAACTTTTTCCAGCTAGTGGTTTACCATCTGTATAGACATTTATTTCCTGATTTATGATAATGTTAGTAACATGTTCTCCTAGGGACCTCCAAAATCCAAATATAAATGTGTAAGCAGTCTCTTTTCCTGCCTAGACTTCATAACACAATCTTATGCAATTTGCCATTTACTTCTCTGCTCAAACATTCTCCATCTGCTAGGCTGTCTCCTCCTCCTCTTCCTCCAAACCACCTCTCAGTTGAATCTTTAATCATTCTTTCAAGTACATCATTTTTTCTGAAACTTTTTAAAAAATGATTAAAATATGAAATGAAAATGAGATATGTGGAGTGCCAGTTAAGAGGGTAAAATTGTGTCATCAGAGAATATTACAAAGCGTACTTTGTGCTCATCTCCCCTATTTTGTTTTCCTAAGTGGCACTTTTTTAAGTGAATGAAAATGACCCTAGAGTGGCAAGATGACAGACTAGATGCAGCCAAGAAGTTTGGCTCGCATAGAACATGATTTCAACTACACCAACATAACTTGAACACTTATTGGGAGAGAAAATGCTCAATGTGAATGGAGAAAAGATGCAGTCCCTAAGGCTGAAGCGAGGGGAAACTGGGAACCCTGATTGGGGTGCCTGAATGCTAGGGCTGGTTCCTGGCCATGAATGGTGCCTGGGAAAGGAGTGAGTGAAGGGACTGGGGGGCTTCTTGCTCTCGCTGTGGACCTCTGGGGTCTTATCTGCAGGGGATCCCACAGCCCTAGGGACATGTGAGCTGGCAAAGGGTCTCCCTGAAGATTACACAGAGATGGAGACAGAGCTGCAACAGGCACACAGCTGGGAACCTTTGAGTGTGGGTCAGCTCCGATAGAGCCCAGCCATAAGCACCTACCTTCTAGGGCTGCCCATCTCTCTCTCAGAGGCTCTGGCCCCAGAGAGAAAGCAAGGCCTGCTTCCCTATGGGACTGGAGCACACCTGTCCTGCAGGCCCACCTGCCCATCAACTCCTTCCAGTGCTCCTGCCTGGCTGCCCCCTAGGAGTGTGTATACAGTGCAGTCTCTGCTGCCCAGCTTGGGTGCTTTGCTCTACCTAAGTGCATTCTGGCAACCTAGCAATCCTTTGAGTCCCCCCAGCACACCGGGAATTCAACCCCAAGGGTCCAGAAGAGGGAGCCACAAGAAGGTCATGGGCCCCAGAGCCGCAGCCCATGGCTCAGGAGTACAGAGCTGGGATCTGGGCTAATGAGGGAGTAGCCCACACTCGGAAAACAGAGGAGGTAAGTCACACAGTTTGATGGGCTGGTATGAGACCTAGGTAGGCCTCCCCCAACAGGGCTGGTTCGTTAAGGGTATGGTCTATCTCTGTACCAGACCTCTCCCCAAGGGTGCCCCACAGGCTGAAAGACCTAACAACAACAACAAAATCACAGCCATAGTGCCAGTGATCGGAGGTGGCTCCCCAAAGGCCCAGGAGTGGACCTGGGCCCAGAATCGGACCAAAAGAAAGATGGGGTCACCTCTCTCTCCTTGGCACTATAGAATACAGCTGCAAATGCAAGGATACACAAAGGAACCCAGCCTCCAGTAAGAGCTGGTCTACCCTCTGTTGCTCTTATGTGCCATCTACTGGATCACAGCCCAAAGTGTAACAACAAAAAACAACTAATTCTCCGGGGGCTGTGAAACCAAGGACAAGAATTCAATTACAAAGACCCTGTCCACAGCCTTACCCTCTGAAAACTTCCAGAAATGAAGCCAACTGACTACACTCAACTTACACCACAGTTAAAGGAATATACACCTTTCCAGATGAGAAAGAAGTAGCACAAGAACTCTGGCAATTCAAAAAGCCAGAGTGTCCCCTCACCTCCAAATGAGCCCATTGGCTACCCGGCAATGGTTCTTAACCAGTCTGGATTGTCTGAAATGACAGTCATGGAATTCAGAATCTGGATGGTAAGGAAGCTTATTGAGATCCAGGAGAAAGTTGAAACTCAATCCAAGAATCCCAAACACCCAGGAAAACAATCCATTGTAAGATTGTAAGTAAAATATCCATTGTTAGAATGACGCAAACTGAACCTCCTGAGTTGGAACATTCACTACAAGAGTTTCATAATACAATCAGAAGTAATAACAACAGAATAGACCAAGCTGAGGAAAAATTCTCAGTGCCTGAAGACCAGTCCTTTGAATCAAGTCAGTCAGATAAAGAAAAAAGGAATTAAGAAAAATAAACAAAACCTATGAGAAATATGGGTAAAGAGACCAAATCTATGGCTCACCAGCATTCCTGAGAGAGAATAAGGAACTTGGAAAATGTATTTGAGGATATAGTCCATGAAATTTTCCCTAATATCACTAGAGGTTTATATGTAAATCCAAGAAATACAGAGAACCCCAGCCAGATACTATACAAGACAACCATCCCCAAGGCTCATAGTCATCAGATTCACCAAGGTCAATACAAAGGTAAAAAAAGAAAAAAGAAAAAAAAAAAATGGTTTTTTTTTTTGTTTTTTTTTTTTTTTTTGAGACAGAGTTTCACTCTTGTTGCCCAGGCTGGAGTGCAATGACATGATGTCAGCTCACTGCAAGCTCTGCCTCCTGGGTTCAAGTGATTCTCCTGCCTCAGCCCCCCAAGTACCTGGAATTACAGGCGACCGCCACCACATCTGACTAATTTTGAATTTTTAGTAGAAATGGGGTTTCACCATGTTTGTCAGGCTGGTCTTGAACTCCTGACCTCAAGTAATCCACCCACCTTGGCCTGGGATTACAGGCATGAGCCACTGCGCCCAGCCAAAGGAAAAAAATATATAAAGACATATATTTTATAAAAAAATATAAAGACAACTAGAGAAAAGGGGCAAGTCACCTACAGAGGGAGTCTCATCAGTCTAGTAGCAGACCTTACAGCACAAACCTTACCCAGAAGAGACTGGGGGCCTATTTCATCAACCTTAAAGAAAATAAATTCTCACCAAGAACTGCATATCCTGCCAAACTAAGCTTCATAGATAAAGGAGTAATAAAATCCTTCACTGACAAGCAAATGCTGAGGGAATAGGTTTCAACTAGACCAGCCTTACAAGAGGTCCTTAAGGGAAAGATACACATGGATTCAAAAGAACCACACCTTCTACCGAAAAAGTACACTTAAGCAATAGCCCACGGGCACTATAAAAACAATCAAGTCTACATAACGGCCAGCTAACAACACAGTGACAGGATCAAAAGCACACATATCAGTACTAACTACATCAATGTAAATAGGCTAAATGTTCCACTCAAAAGACACAAAATGGCAGGCTGCATAAAAAGACAAAACCCAACCATCTGTTGCCTTCAAGAAGCCCATCCCATATATAACAACACCCACAGGTTCAAAGTAAAAGGGTGGAGTGAGATCTACCATGCAAATGGAAAACAAAAAGAGCAGGAGTGGCTATTTTTATATCGGATAAAACAGACTTGAAACCAATAACAATTTAGAAGGACGATAAAGGGCATTACATAATGATAAAGGGTACAATCCAACAAGAGGCCCTAACTATCCTAAATATATATGCATCCAATATTGAAGCACCTAGACTCATAAAACAAATTCTTCCTGGCCTACAAAAAGACTTAGACAACCACACAATAATAGTGGGAAACTTTAACACCACACTGACAGCATTAGACAGATTGCTGATGCAGAAAACTAAAAAAGAAACTCTGGACTTAAACTCAACACTTGGCCCACTGGATATAATAGAAATCTACAGAACACCCCAATCTACAACCACAGAATATACATTCTTCTTATCTGCACACAGAACATATTCTAAGATTGACCACATGCTTTCTTATAAAGCAAGACTAAATAACTTTTTGTAGAAAAATTGAACTCATACCAAGCACACTCTCTGACCACAGTGCAATAAAAAATGGAAATCAATAACAAGATCTCTCAAAACTACACAACCATTGTAAAAGGGGTTGAGTTCTTGATTTGATTCTTCGCTTGGTTGCTGTTGGTGTACAGAAGAGCTACTGATTTGTGTATATTAATCTTGTATCCAGAAACTTTGCTGAATTCTTTTATCAGTTCTGGAGCTTTCTGGAGGAGTCTTTAGGATTTTTGAGGTAAACGATCATATCGTCAGCAAACAATGACAGTTTGACTTCTTTCCCAATTTGTATGCGCTTTATTTCTTTCTCTTGTCTGGTGGCTCTGGCTAGGACTTCAAGTGCTATGTTGAGGAGGAGTGGTAAGAGTACTACAAAAAAGATAAAATACTTAGGATTATACCTAACCAAGGAGGCAAAAGACCTCTACAAGGAAAACTACAAAACACTGCTGAAAGAAATCATAGATGACACAAACAAATGGAAACACAACCTGTACTCATTGATGGGTAGAATCAATATTGTGAAAATGGCCATAATGCCAAAAGTAATCTACAAATTCAACACAATCCCCATCAAAATACCACCATCATTCTTTACAGAATTAGAAAAAACAGTTCTAAATTCATATTGAACCAAAAAAGAGCCCACATAGTCAAAGCAAGACTAATCAAAAGGAACAAATCTGGAGACATCACACTACCTGATTTCAAACTATACTGTAAGGCCATAGTCACCAAAACAGCATGGTACTTATATAAAAATAGGCATATAGACCAATGGAACAGAAAAGAAAACCAAAAAGTAAGCCCAAATATTTACAGGCCAACTGATCTTCAAGAAAGCAAACAAAAACATAAAGTGGGGAAATGACATCCTTTTCAACAAATGGTGCTGGGAAAATTGGCTAGCCAGAGAGAATGAAATTGGACCCTCATCTCTCACCTTACACAAAAATCAACTCAAGATCAATTAAGGACTTAAATATAAGATCTGAAACTGTAAAAATTCTAGAAGATAGCATTGGAAAAACCCTTCTAGACATGGGCTTAGGCAAGGATTTCATGACCAAGAACCCAAAAGCAAATGCAATAAAAACAAAGATAAAAAGCTGGGGCTTAATTAAACTAAAGATCTTTTGCACTGCAAAAGGAAGAGTCAGCAGAGTAAACACAAAACCCACAGAGTGGGAGGAAATCTTTGCAAACTATACACCTGACAAAGAACTAATATCCAGAATCTACAATGAGTTCATACAAATCAGCAAGAAAAAAACAAACACTCCCATCAAAAAGTGGGACATGAATAGACAGTTCTCAAAAGAAGATATACAAATGGCCAAAAAACATATGAAAAAATATGCTCAGCATCACTAATTATCAGATAAATGAAAATCAAAACCACAATGTCATATGACCTTATTCTTGCAAGAATGGCCATAATCAAAAGATAACAGTAGATGTTGTTATGGATGTGGTGATCAGAGAACACTTCTACATTGCTGGTGGGAATGTAAACTAGTACAACCTTTATGGAAAACAGTGTGAGTGTGGAGATTCCTTAAAGAACTAAAAGTAGAACTACCATTTGATCCAGCAATCCCACTACTGGGTATCTACCCAAAGGAAAAAAAAAGTCATTATAAGAAAAAGATACCTGCACACAGATGTTTATAGCAGCACAATTCACAATTGCAAAGTCATGGAAGCAACCCAAATGCCAATCAATCAACAAGTGGATAAAGAAACTGTGGTATATATATGCAATGGAATACTACTCAGCCATAAAAAGGAATGAGTTAACAACAGCATTTGCAGTGACTTGGATGAGATTGGAGATGCTTATTCTAAGTGAAGTAACTCATGAATGCAAAACCAAACATTGTATGTTCTCACTGGTATGTGGGAGCTAAACTGTGAGCATACAAAGGCATAAGAATGGTACAATGGACTTTGGGGACTTGGCAGGAAGGGTGGGAGAGGGGTGAGGGATAAAAGACTACAAATAAGGTGCAGTGTATACTGCTCAGGTGATGGGTGCACCAAAATCTCACAAATCACCACTAAAGAACTTACTCATATGATCAAACACCATCTGTACCCCAATAACCTATGGAAAATTTAAAGAAAAAGAAAACTACACAACCACATGGAAATTAAAAATCTTACTTCTGAATAACTCCTGGGTGAACAATGAAATTAAAGAAGAAATAAAAAAATTCTTTGAAATTAATAAAAATAGGGACACAGCTTATTAAAATCTGGGGGATGCAACCAAAATAGTGTTAAGAAGAAAGATTATAACCCTAAACACCTTCACTAAGAAATCAGAAAGATCTCAAATTAGCAATCTATGCACCTAGGGAGCTAGAAAAAAAAAAAAAAACCCAAAGCTAGGAAAGCAGAAATAACCAAAAGTAGAGAACTTAATAAAAGTGGCATGCAAAAATCCATACAAAAGATCAATTACTAAAACACCAAAAGCAATGGCAACTAAAGCCAAAATTGACAAATGGGATCTAATTAAACTTAAGAGCTTCTGCATAGCAAAAGAAACTATCATCAGAGTGAATAGACAACCTACAGAATGGGAGAAAATTTTTGCAATCTATCCATCTGACAAAAGGCTAATATCCAGAATCTACAAGGAGCTTAAAAAATTTTACAAGAAAAAAACAAGCAAGGCTGGGCATGGTGGCTCACTCCTGTAATCCCAGCAATTTGGGAGACCAAGGAAGGTGGATCACCTGAGGTCAGGAGTTCAAGACTAGCCTGCACAACATGGTGAAACCCCATCTCTACTAAAAGTACAAAAATTAGCTGGGCACGGTGGTGTGTGTGTGTGTGTGTGTGTGTGTGTGTGTGTGTGTGCCTGTAATCCAAGCTACTTGGGAGGTTGAGGCAGGAGAATCTCTTGAGCCTGGGAGGCAGAGGTTGCAGTGAGCCGAGATTGCACCACTGCACTCCAGTTTGGGTGATAGAGCGAGACTCCATCTCAAAAAAAAAAAAAAAAGTGGGTGAAGCGTATGAACAGACACTTCTCAAAAGAAGACACTTATGTGGCCAACAAACATGAAAAAATGTTCATCATCACTGGTCATTAGAGAAATGCAAATCAAAACTAAAAACCATAATGAGATACCATCTCACACCAGTTAGAAGGGCTATCATTAAAAAGTCAGGAAGAAACAGATGCTGGAGAGGATGTGGAGAAATAGGACACTTTTACACTGTTGGTGGGAGTCTAAATTAGTTCAACCATTGTAGAAGAGTGTGGCAATTCCTCAAGGATATAGAACCAGAAATACTATTTGACCCAGCAATCCCATTACTGGGTATATACCCAAAGGATTATAAATCATTCTACTGTAAAAGCATATGCACATGAATGTTTATTGTAGCACTGTTCACAACAGCAAAGACTTGAAACCAACCCAAATGCCCATCAATGATAGATTGGATAAAGAAAATGTGGCATATAGACACCATGGAATACTATGCAGCCATAAAAAAGGATGAGTTCATGTCTTTTGCAGGGACGTGGATGAAGGTGAAAACCATCATTTTCAGCAAACTATCACAGGAACAGAAAACCAGACACCACATGTTCTCACTCATAAGTGGGAGTTGAACAATGAGAACACATGGACACAGGGAGAGGAACGTTACACACTGAGGCCTGTTGGGGGTGAGGGGCTAGGAGAGGGATAGCATTAGGAGAAATACCTAATGTAGATGACGGGTGTAGAAAACCACCATGGCACGTATATACCTATGTAACAAACCTGCACGTTCTGCACATGTATCTCAGAACTTAAAGTATAACAATAATATAATAATAATAATAATAATAATAATCAATTAAACCAGGAGTTGGTTTTTCAAAAAAAAAATAAGTTGAACAGACTGCCAGCTAGATTAAGAAAGATAAAGACCCAAATAAGCATAATCAGAAATGATAAAGGCACTATTACAACTGATCTCACAAAAATGAAAAGATCCTCAGAGACAACTATGAACAGCTATATGCAAAAAAATTAGAAAATCTAGAGGAAATGGATAAATTCCTGGAAGCACACAATTTTCCAAGATTGAATCAAAAAAAGATTGACACCATGAATAGACAAAATCAAATTCTGAAATTAAATGAATAATCAAGAACCTATTAAGTAAGAAAACAAAACAAAGCAAAACAAAAACCCTGGACCAGATAGATTCACAGCCAAATTTTACCAAATGTACAAAGAAGAACTGAAACAAATCCTACTGAAACTATTCCAAAATATCAAGGAAATGAGACTCCTCCCTAACTCATTCTATGAAGCCAGCATCAGCCTGGCACATATCAAAATCTGGCACAGATAAAGTGAAAAAAGTAAACTTCAGGCCAATATTCCTCAGGAACACAGATACAAAAATCCTTAACAAAATATTAGCAACAGAATCTAGCAGCACATCAAAAAGTTAATACACCAGGATGCAAGCCTGGTTCAAAATGCAAGTCAATAAATGTTTTTCATCACATAAACAGAATTAAAAACAAAAACCACAATAGACACAGAAAAAGCTTTCAATAAAATGCAACATCTCTTCATAATAAAAACCCTCAACATATTCAGCATTGAAAGAACATACCTAAATAATAAGAGCCTTCTATGACAAACCCACAGCCAACATAATACTGAATGGACAAAAGCTGAACCCATTCCCCATGAGCACTAGAATAGGACAAAGATGCCTACTGTCACCACTCCTATTCAACATAGTACTGAAAGTCTGAGCCAAAGCAATCAGGCAAGAGAAAGAAATAAAAGGCATAAAATAGGAAATGAAGAAGTCAAAATATCTCTTTGCTGATGATGTGATTCTATACCTAGAAAATCCTAAAGAATCTCCCAAAAGGCTCCTAGAACTGATAAACAACTTCAGTAAAGTTATGGAATACAAAATCAATCGATTTTTTTTTTATTTTTTTTGAGATGGAGTCTCGCTGTGTCTCAAAAATATACAATATATACAATATACATTATACAAAAATTAACTCAAAATGGACAAAAGATTTAAAGGTAGAACCTCAAAGTATAAAAATCTTGAAAGACAACCTAGAAAACACTCTTCTCAACATCAGCCATGGCAAAGAGTGTTTGGCTAAGTCCCCAAAAGCAATTGCAACAAAAACAAAAATAGACAAGTGGGACACTATGAGTGGGACACTCACGGACGCAAAGAAAAAGGATGGGAGAAGATAATTTGCAAATTAATCATCCACCAAAGTCTGAATATCCAGAATCTATAGGTAATTTAAATAAATTGACAAGCAAAAAATAAATAACCCCATTAAAAATAGGCAAAAGACATGAACAAACTCCTCTCAGAAGAAAACATTTAAGCCACCAACGAACATGAAAAAATGTTCAGCATCACTAATCATGAAAGAAATGCAAATCAAAACCACAATGAGATACTATCTCATACCAGTCAGCATGACTATCAATAGAGTCAGACAACAAAAGATGCCGGCAAGACTGTGGAGAAAAGGAAATGTTTATACCCTGTTGGTGGGAATGCAATTTAGTTATTACCATTTGACCCAGCACTGGATATATGCCCAAAAGAATATAAATTGTTCTACCATAAAGACACACACACTCACAATTTATTTATCCAGTCATCTGCTGAAGAACATCTTGATTGCTTCCAAGTTTTGGCAATTATGGAAAAGCCTCTATAAACATACATTAGCAGGTTTTGGTGTGGACATAAGTTTTCAACTCCTTTAGGTAAACACCAAGGAGTGTTTTTCCTGGATCATATGATGAATATGTTTAGTTTTGTCAGCAGCTGCCAAACTGTCTTCCAAACTGGCTGTACTATTTTGCATTCCCATAAGCAATGAATGAGCATTCATGTTGCCTCATATCCTCCCCAGCATTTGGTGTTGTCAGTGTTCTGGATTTTTGCCATTCTAGTAGATGTATAGTGTATTTCATTGTTGTTTTTATTTGCATCTCTCTGATGACGTATGATGTGGAGCATTTTTCAAATGCCTATTTGTTGTCTGTATATTTTCTTTGGTGGGGTATCTGCTAAGGTATTTGGGCCATTTTAAAATCAGGGTTTTTTAAAATATATTATTGAGTTTTAAGACTTCTTTGTATATTTTGAATAATAACAGTCATTTATTATATGTGTCTTTTACCAATATTTGCTTTCAATCTGTGGCTTGTATTTTTATTCTCTTGACAATGTCTTTTGCAGACCTGAAATTTTTAGTTTTAAGGAAGTGCAGATTAGCAAGTCTTTTTTTAATGAATCATGAATTTCATGTTTTTTCTAGAAAGCCATCACTAAATCCAAGGTTATCTAGATTTTCTCCTGTGTTTTTATAGGTATTTTATAGTTTTGCATTTAATATATTTAGGTCTGGAATCCATTTGGGGTTAATTTTTGTGAAGAGTTTGAATTTTGTCTAGATTTTGTTTTTTTATATGCGAATAACCAGCTATAGCACAATTTGTTTAAAAGGCTTTCTTTTTGCCATTTTATGTTGTCTTTGTTCTTCTGTCAAATATCAGTTGGCTATATTTATGTGGGTCTATTTCTGGACAATATATTCTGTTGTGTTAATCTATATGTCTGTTATTTTTATGAATTACAAACTGTCTTGATGACTGTAGCTTTAAAGTAAGCCTTGAAGTTAGGTAGTGTCAGTCCTTCAACTTCATTATTTTCCTTAACATCGTGTTGGCTATTCTGGATCTTTCACCTCTCAACATAAACTTTAATAATCAGTTTGTAGTCAGGCATGGTGGTGCACATCTGTATTCCCAGCTATTAGGGAGGCCAAGTGGGGAGGATCACTTGAGCCCAGAAGTTCAAGGCTGCAGTGAGCCAAGATTGTGCCACTCTCCTCCAGCTTGGGCAACAGAGTGAGATCCCTTCTCAATGAAGAAAAAAAATCAATTTTTAAATATTCACAAACTAACATGTTGGAATTTTTACTGGGGTTGCATTGAATTTATAGATCAAATTGGGAAGAACTGACATTTTGACAATACTGTTTCTTCTCCACAAACATGGACTCTCTCTCCATTTACTTATTTACTGGATTTCTTCCACCAGAGATTGCAGTTTTGCTCATATAGGTCTTTGTTAGATTGATACCTAAGTATTTTTTTCTTTGATGAAGTGTTCATGTAAATGTTATTATGCTTTTAATTTCAAATTCCACTTTTCATTACAGGGAAACAATTGTATCAGTATAGGGAAACAATTGGCTTTGGTATGTTAACCTTTTATCCTGCAACTTTTCTATAATTACTATTTAGTTCAAGAATTTTTTATTGTTGTTGCTGATTTTCTTTTTCTGTCAATTCTTATAGATTTTCCACATAGACAACCATATTATCTGTGAATAAAGACAGTTACACTTCTTCCTTCCCAATGAATGTATCTTTTATTTCCTTTTCTTGTCTTATTGTATTAGCCAAGAAAATCTTGGCTATATCTAAGATTTCTTCTTAGAAAATCTTAGATCTTAGCTAATTCAATAAGAGAAGAAACATTGCATTTCCAATACAATGATAAAAATGAGTGGTGAGAGGGGACATAGTGCCTTATTCCTGATCTTAGTGGGAAAGCACTTGTTTCTCATTATTAAGCATGATGTTAACTGTAAGGTTGGGTTTTTCCTTTTTCATATACATGCATTGTCAAGTTGAGGAAGCTGCTCTTTATTCCTAGTTTGCTGAGAGTTTTTGGCATGAATGGACATTGGACTTTGTCAAATGCTTTTTCTGTATATATTGTATGATCATGTGAATTTTCTTCTTTAGCCTGTTGATGTAATAAATTACATGAATTGATTTTTAAGTGCTTAACCAGCCTGGTATACCTGGAATAAATTCCACTTGATCATAGTGCATATTTTTTATACATTGTTGGATTCAATTTACTAATATTTTGTTGAGGATTCTTTTACCTATGCACTTGAGACATATTGATCTGTAGTTTTATTTTCTAGTAACAACTTTGTCTACTTTTGGTATTAGTTTAAGGCTGGCCTCATAAAATTAGTTTGAAAGTATTCTGTGTCTTATCTCCTAGATGAAATTGTACAGAATTGGTATAATTTCGTCCTGAAATGTTGGGTAGAATTTATCACTGAGCCCATTTGGGCCTGATACTTTCTAGTTTGGGAAGATATTAATTATTTACTTAATTTCTTTAATAGATACAGGCCTATTAAGATTGTCCATTTCTTCTTGAATGAGTTTTGGCAGATGTGTTGTTCAAGGAACTGACTGGTCCATTTCATCTAGGTTATGAAATTTGTGGGCATATAATTTATTATCCTGTTAAATGTGCATGGGCTCTGTAGTGATGTTCCCACATTTATTTCTAATATAAGTAATTTGTATCTTCTCTCTTTTTTATTAGCCTGCTAGGCTACGACATAAATCATATTGATATTTTTAAAGAACAAGCTTTTGGTTTTGTTGATTCCCTATTTTCAATTTCATGAATTTCTGCTCTAATTTTTATTGTTTCTTTTCTTCTTTTCTTTTCTTTCTTTTCTTTTTTTTCCTTTCCTCTCCTCGCCTCTCTTTCCTTTTCTTTCTTTTTGTGAGGGGATCTCACTCTGTTTCCTAGGCTGGCATGCAGTGGAGTGATCATGGCTCACTGTGGCCTTGAGCTTCCAGGCTCAAGTGATCCTTCCACCTTAGCCTTCTGAATAGCTGGGACCACAGGCACATACCAGCATGCCCAGCAATCTCTCTGTTTTTTTTTTTTAATTTGTAGAAACAAGATCGCACTATGTTCCCCAGGATGGTCTCAAACTGGACTCAAGCAACCCTGCCTCAGCCTTCCAAAGTGCTGTGATTACAGGTATGAACCACTATATTTGGCCTTATTATCTATTTTATTCTTCATGATTTGGATTTAATTTGTTCTTTCTTTTCTAGTTTCCTAAGATTGATGCTTTAACGAATGATATCAGATTTTTCTTCTTTTCTAATATGTGTATTTAATGCTACAAATTGTCCTCTAAGTACTGCTTTTGCGGTTTCCCCAAAATTTTGATAAGTTAATGTTTCATTTTCATTTAGTTCTATTATTTTAAAATTTTTCTTGTGTTTCCTTCTTTGACCCTTTCTTGTATTGTTTAGAAGTAGGTTGTTTAATCTCCAATATTTTAGAATTTTCCAGCTACCTTTCTTTTTTGTTGCTGTTGAAATTATTTATTATAGCAAATATGCTATTTCAGGGAGTATTTACAATTAAATTTCTTCACATATTAATATGTTTAGGTACTTTTTATAATTCTTTTTTTAACTTTTAGGTTCAGGGGTACGTGTGCAGATTTGCTATGTGTGTAAATTGTGTGCTGCAGGGTTTGGTGTACAAATTATTTCGTCATCCAAGTAATAAGCATAGTATCGGATAGGTAGTTTCTCAATTCTCACCCTTCCCCTACCCTGCACCCTGTAGTAGGCCCCAGTGTCTGTTGTTCCCTTCTTTGTGTCAATATCTACCCAGTGTTTAGCTCCCACTTACAAGTGAGAATGTGTGTTATTTTTTTTTTCTGTTCCTGTGCTAGTTTCCTAAGGATAATGACCTCCAGCTCTATCCATGTTGCTACAAAGGACATGATCTCATTCTTTTTATGGCTGCATAGTATTTCATGATGTGTATCTATACTATATTTTCTTTACCCAACCTACTGTTGATGGATATTTAGGTTGATACCATGTCTTTCCTATTGTGAATAGCACTACGATAAACATATGCATGTATGTGCCTTTATGGTAGAACAATTTTTATCCCTTTGGGTATATACCCAATAATGGGTTTACTGGGTCAAATGGTAATTCTGTTATAAGTTTTTTGAGAAATTGACACACTGCTTTCCACAATGACTGAACTAATTTTTATTCCCACCAGCAGTGTATAAAACATTCCCTTTTCTCTACAACTTCACCAGGATCTGTTACTTTTTTACTTTCTAATAGTAGTCATTATGACTGGTGTGAAATGGTATCTTGTCGTGGTTTTAATTTGCATTTCTCTAGTGATTAGTGATGTTGAGCATTTTCTCATATGCTTGTGAGCCACTTGTATGTCTTCTTTTGAAAAGTGTCTGTTTATGTCCTTTGTCCACTTTTTAATGGGTTTGTTTTTTGCTTGTAAATTAAATTTGTTTAAGTTCCTTATAGATTCTGGATATTATACCTTTGTTGGATGCATAGTTTGCAAATATCTTCTCTGATTTTGTAATTTGTCGGTTTATTCATTGTTTTGTTGTTGTTGTTGTTTGTTTTCCATGCAGAAGCTCTATTTAATTAGGCCCCATTTGTTGATTTTTGTTTTTGTTGCATTTGCTTTTGGCATCTTCATCAAGAAATATTTTCCAGGTCCTGTGTCCAAAATAGTATTTCCTAGGTTATCTTACAGGGTTTTTAGAGTTTCGGTTTTACATTGTATTTAATCCATTTTGAGTTTATTTTTGTGTATGGCATAAGGAAGGGGTTCAGTTATCCCAGCACCATTTATTGAATAGGGAGTCCTTTCCCCCATTGTTTGTTTTTGTCAATTTTTGTTGAAGATCAGATGGTTTTAGATGTATGGAATTATTTCTGGACTCTGTATTCTGTTCCTGTGGTCTATTTGTCTGTTTTTGTACCAGTACCATGCTATTTTGGTTACTGCAGCTTTGTAGTATAGTTTGAAGTTGGGTAATGTGATGCCTTTAGCTTTGTTCTTTTTGTTTAGGATTATCTTGGCTATTCAGGCTGTTATTGGTTCCATATGAATTTTAAAATACCTTTTTATAATTCTGCGTGGAATGTCATTGGTAGTTTGATAGGAACAGAATTGAATCCCTAAACTGCTTTGGACATTATGTCCATCTTAACAATATTGATTCTCCCTATCCATGAGCATGGAATGTTTTTCCATTCATTTGTGTCTTTGTGTAGTGTTTTGTAAATCTCATTGTAGAGATCTTTTTCCCCTCTGGTTAGCTGTATTCCTAGGTATTTTATTCTTTTTGTGGCTATTGTGAATGGGATTGCATTCTTGAGTTGGCCCTCAGCTTGGACGTTGTTGCAGTAGAGAAATGCTACTGATTTTTGTGCATTGATTTTGTATCTTGAAACTTTGCTGAAGTTGTTTATCATATCTAGGATCTTTTGGACACAGACTATGGAGTTTTCTAGATATAGAATTATATAATCTGCAAACAGGGATAGGTTGACTAGCTCTCTTCATTTTATTTCTTTCTTCTTCCTGATTGCTCTGGCTAGGAATTACAGTACTATGTTGAATACGAGTGGCAAGAGAGGGCATCCTTGTCTTGTTCCAGTCTTTAACAGGAATGCTTCTAGCTTTTGCCCATTCAGCATGATGTTGGCTGTGGGTTTTTCATAAATGGCTCTTATTATTTTGTAGTATGTTCCTTCAATGCCTAGTTTGTTGAGGGTTTTCACATTAAGTGATGTTGAATTTTATCAAAAGCCTTTTCTGCATTTATTGAGGTGATCATGTGGTTCTTGTCTTTAGTTCTATTTGTGTGATGAACCACATTTATTGATTTCTGTATGTTGAACCAATTTTAGAATATGTGTCATGTACAGATGAGAAGAATGTATATTCTGTTGTTTTGGGGTGGATAATTTTATAGATGTCTATTAAGTTTATTTCATCAAGTGTTGAGTTCAGGTCCCTTTGATCTTTGTTAATTTTCTGTCACAATGATCTGTCTAATACCTAGTGGGGTGTTGAAGTCTTCCACTATTATTGTGTGGTTATCTAATCCCTTTGTAGGTCTTTAAGAATTGCTGTATGAATCTGGTTGCTCCTGTGCTGAGTATGTATATATTTAGAATAGTTAGGTCTTCTTGTGAATTGGGCCCTTCGCCATTATGTAATATTCTTCTTTGTGTTTTTTTATCTTTGTTGGTTTAAATTCTGTTTTGTCCAAACTACTAATAAGTCCATCAAAGGCATTCTTCATTTTTGTTACAGTATTTTTGATCTCTGGCTTTTACTGAGGGAGGGGTTCTTTCTTCAAATGTCACTCTCTTTGCTATCATTGCTCGTCTGTTATTGCATGCTGTCTACTTTATCCACTTAGAGCCCCTAGCATAAAAGCACATTTTAAATTCTCAGTCTAATTATCCAGGTTCCCTGCCATATCTGAATGTGGTTCATACACTTACTCTGTCTCTTCATCTGTGCTTTTTGCCTTTTGGTATGTCTGGCAGTTTTTTTCTTAATAGCTGGACATGAGGTACTGAGTAAAAGAAACTATTAGAAATAGGACTTTAGTCATGTGGTGGTAATGTGTGCGGGAAGGAAAAGCTTTCTATATTCCTATGGTTGGGTCTCAGTCTTTAGTGAGATTCTGCCTTTAGATTTTGAAGTTCACAAGTGCTTCTCAATTCCTCCCCTGTCCTGAATTGGGACAGAATGGCTAGAGTGGGTCAGAGGTGAGATTGTTTTTCTGCCACATAGAAGGCCAGAGCTGGTTGGAGTTGGGTGTTTTCTTTCCCCCAGGTCATTTAGGCGCTGATAAAACTCCAGCAGGTTAGGTGCTGATTTAATAGTTTCTCCTGAGGTCAGACTAAGAAAAACATAATTCTTCAGAATGCTTTAAAGTGGTTCCTTTTCCACTCCCCCTGCCAGAAGCGTTAAGGAACTTTTCTCCAATATTCACTACGTTGTGCACATGTACCCCAAAACTTAAAGTGTAATAAAATAAAAAAAAGAAAACCTGGCCAAACTTCTGGAAGCAAACCTCACAGAAGGGTGGAGACTATCCTATAACTGGATACCGCTAAGTTTTCGAATCTCATACTTGTCCACACTGAGCCTGCAACCATTCATCAATTACTGTTTAGGTTTTTCTACCCCAGCACTGGTTCTGATGGAGGTTTCCATTCATGGGTTTCTGTTCCAGTAAGATATGATTCTCTGTATTCACCTCTTTCTCCAATTTTTGGGACAGTGGTTTTTCCTGTGGCCTCACTCCTCTGATAGAGCAAAGAAGAGTTGATGATTTTTTAGTTTAGTGAGCTTCAGCTTTTTACCTGTTGGTAGGATAAAGGGTTACCCTGAAGCTCTTACATGCTGGACCAGAAACCAGAAGTTGCCAATTGCTTTTCACGGTCAGTTATTTATATTAATGAGAAATAACTGAACTGCAACAGAATTTTGAATGTTGTTTTGATACATGAACAGGTTTAACTAGAATAAATTATTTGTGAAAGTTTATTTCTTGATGCTTGGTGTGAGGTGTTTATTTCCTGTTCTTACGATGCATAAATCATCATGGGTTCCATTAAGTCAAGAATTTGAAAGCTAACACACGAAAAACTCAAGGGTATCCAAAACCACTGAAGGGGTTCTAGAGATTTAATATGACCCAGACCAAGACTTAATATTCTGATATAATTGGACTGAAATGTGTTGGGGAGCAGAAGGCTTTGAACATTTCTTCCAGCTTTCTCATAGTCTAGGAAGAAGTTTGTGTGTTAGGTCAAATCATATTCCTTCTCAAATCTTTATTCCGTGATGGTCAAAGTTGTTTAGAATACATATTAATAGCCTCTTGAAAATAATCTAATTGCAGCTAGGCATGGTGGCTCATGCTTGTAATCCCAGCACTTTGGGAGGCCAAGGCGGGTGGATCACCTGAGGTCAGGAGTTTGAGACCAACATGGTGAAACCCCATCTCTACTAAAAATACAAAAATTAGCCAGGCGTGGTGGCAGGCACCTGTCATCATAGCTACTTGGGAGGCTGAGGCCCAAGAATCGCTTGAACCTGGGAGGCAGAGGTTCTAGTGAGCCGGGATTGTGCCACTGCACTCCAGCCTAGGCGACAGAGTGTGACTTTGTCTAAAAAAAACAAACAAAAACAACAACAACAAAAAAAACAACTGATTGCTCTCTAATTGATATATAAAACCAATATAATTTATGATATTTGTTAAAAAAAGTTGTACTATTAGATCAGCATCCTAAGACAAATTATTATGGAACTCTGATATGTCTGAAATTATTGCAGGTGTTGGTAAATTTGAGGTACTCTAGAAGATGGTTTTCAAGGGGTAAACACCAGCAGTTTTCTCTGAATCCCTTTTTGTCAACAAAATTAGATTATTATTAGATACATATTTGTTGTTATGACAAAATGGGAGGCATTTAGCCACTTATGCCCAGTGTTCCATTATTGGAACACTAAGCATGTGGGAGTTATTTATATCCTACTGCTGAAGGTCATTGCCAAGGTCTGACTGCAAAAATTCAAAAAATTGCAACTTCAGGTGTAAATGGGTTAAGAAAGATGGGTATTGTAGTAAGTAATAGAGTTTTATACTTAAAGTTTTGTTAAATATTTTTCTGAATTATGCAGTAAACACTACACTTAACTGCCTTATGGTGCTGGTTTGAATCATAATAAAATAATGTCTCTAAAGAGGATCAAGCCAGATCAGTGTCAGCTTCCTTTTTGTTACTTAGAAATTCTTCATATCCATAAACCCAAGTGAAGGAGAACTATGATGTAAGTGAACATTATGCTCTTTCAGAGGTTGAGGACTTCCCTTTTTGCAGGATGACTTAGCCACGATATCTAGAGTAAACCCTCAATCTTCCTTTCCAAACCCTTGTTGGACATGTTTCCATATGTATATCCTGAAACACATAAAAGTTGTTTTCTCTCCTGACTTAAATTCAATTCACCAATCTTTGGGATATTAGGATCCAAGGAACCATGCTTGATTATTTCCACTTTGGTTTCTTTGAGACAGTCTCCCGCCGCCACCAACAAATGGACAGATAGTATGTGAATAGTTATTTTTATTAGAATAATTGGGGGTTACTATAAATACACGAACAAAAAACGGTAAAACCTTTCATTTAAAGGATGGGATCTACCTCTGTGGGTGAGGTCATTTCACTTATGTCCGGGAAAAAGTCTGCAGGCTTACTGAATATTTGAACTCATAAGTAGAAGTAAAACAAGGAGATAGGCTGTTATTTCTGAATGAAATGAATATGATGCAAATTTATCTTTGTTACACCATAATCTGAAGTATGTTCTTGGGGATTATCATTAGGCACTAAAACTTCTCTGTAGCTCTACAACCTATTAACTTAGTATAATATAATCTTGAAAGACTCGTGTTCCTCTCCTGAGCTATAAGCTGGTGCCATAAACTATTAAAATAATAATATATAAAGACAGTTAATGGCTGCAAGGGTGCCAGGAAAACTTCTCCAAACTTGGAAGCATGAATCTGTGAGTGATATTTTTTCCCTTACCCAGGGGCAGTTTCTCTCCGCATCAAGTATTTTTGGAGACAGTGAAGGTGTAATAGAAATAAGACTAAACATGGAGTCAGAAGATTTGGGTATAACTTACTCTTCACTTTTTAGTTTCAGAAAAGTTTTTAAGTCTCTGAATTTCAATGTCCTTATCTGGAAATTACAACAATCTTGCAAGGCTTTTCTGAGAATTAATTAAGAGAAAATAAAATTACATTGTAAAAATAAAGCAATACAAAATAAGATTATTTAGAATTATTGTCTTTGAGTGAGTATTAGGAAGTCAGAATTAGTAACTACTCAGCAAAGCATTCCTACTGTTCTGCGTGTGAGACCCAAATCTACCCACCAATAGATGTAGATACTTGTTCAATTCACTTACATTCTTTGTGCCTCAGCTTTCTGATGTAAAATGAGAATTAGCACTACCTGTTTTACAGAGTTTTGGTAAAGACTAAGAGAGTTAGTGTGCATAAAATAATCAGTACAATGCTTGTATGTATTCATTTTGAACATAATTGAGATTTTTTGGATTTTTTTTAAGCTACATACCATACACAAAAGTATCCCAATGAGCATCTACCATCCCAAGGGAACTCTTCTTCAGTGGAATTCTGGCTTTCCCCATGGCATGTGCTTCTTTTCTTCTAAGATGCATTAAAAATGGTGTTAATTTGTTACCATGGTAACTGCTATACATATATTCATAGTTCTTATTGGTTTTTCTGTTTGTTGTTTTGGGGGGTTTTAAACTTTTAGTGTCCAGGAGTACATGTGAAGGTTTGTTACCTAGGTAAACTCATTTCATGGGGGTTTTTTGTATGGATTATTTAATCACTCAGGTACTTAAGCCCAGTATCCAATAGGTATCTTTTCTGCTTCTCTTCCCCCTTCCACCTTCAACCCTCAAGTAGACCCCAGTGACCATTTCCTTCTTTGTGTTCATAAGTTCTTATCATTTAGCTCCCACTTATAAGAGAGAACATGCAGTGTTTTGTTTTCTGTTCCTGCATTAGTTTGCTAAGGGTAATGTTTTAAAGGTGAATAGATCTATCACATTTGAATGAAAATCACCTGCTTACAAAGAGAACCATTTGTTAAGCTTTATTGTGCCTACTCAGATACATATATGTATATAATATGTATCTATAGATACATATTATATAATATGTATATATACACATATATATGTACATATAAATATACATATATAATATGTACATATACATATATAACATGTACATATAAATATACATATATAACATGTACATATAAATATACATATATAACATGTACATATAAATATACATATATAACATGTACATATAAATATACATATATAACATGTACATATAAATATACATATATAACATGTACATATAAATATACATATATAATATGTACATATAAATATACATATATAATATGTACATATAAATATACATATATATGAAAATATGGACTATGTAATAAAATCAAATGATCTCAAAATTATAAGCAATATAAAGGGTACATGTAGGGTAATCTTGCATTCTGATTGGAATGTCCCTTATCACATCTCTGAAAGAATGCTTTTTGATCCATGCTTACACTCTTTACAGTAGTAGTAAACTCACTCCTTCACAAGGCAACATATCTCACCATTGTTTTTCTCCTTATACCGAAATGAAATCTAAGTTTTTATTAGTTTCACGTCTTTTTACTGGCTTTTCACCATGGAAAACCACACGACAAATCTACATAGCAGTTTTTGTATTTGAAGTCAAGTGTCATGTCTCTACTTCTCTAAACAAAATATCCCTTGGGAGCTCTCACAGTAGAAGGGGAGAAGTGTTGGCTTTGGAATCAGATCTGGGTTTAATTCTTAGCTCAATCACTTTCCAGCTGTGTGATCAAGGTATTAAATCTCTCTGTGCTTTAGTCTTTCTCTCCTACTTAATAAGTTTGTTTTGTGACTTAAATAAGAAAAAAACACTAAACTTGAAAAAAAAATCACAGTACTTACAAATATTCAATCAATATTAACTGTTAGGTATATTAAATCATTTTCATATGCGATGAGCCACTTTATCAATTTATAATCTTTCTTTGAATGTATTTAGTTTATTACGGTTACTTTTAAGATGCATTTGCTGGAAGAACACATAACAACTAAACAATTGTTAATTATTTATTAAATTCTGTCTTAAATGGTAATGCTAATTGTAGATATCTACAAATTCCCAGAAATTTTGATGCAATTAAATTACAGGTGTTTAAATGTCACCACAGGCAAAGACATAAACATGTAAGAGACAGGCACAAAAAGAACCATGAACGCTTGAGGTCAGGATTGGAGTCCATTCTCTAGGCAAACACACTGGGAAGAGGTGTATATATTTTCTCTTTCAAAGCATCTCACTATTGTTATTTTATTTTGGGTGGCAAATGTGGTTAACTTTAATTGCTCCCTCATAGCTACCAATGACTACATCATGAGAAATGCCCAACGGTATGTGAAGAAAGTAATCCAAGGAGAATGAGTGTGTTCACGTCTTGATAGTATACCCCCTTGGGACCTCCTTCTATAAACACCAAATTTGAGTTCCTGAGGCTGAGATACCACACTCTTCTGGAAACCAGAGAATGTGACTTGGTTTCTCTTTTACAATACTGCAGAAAATTCCACAATGGTCTATGTGGACTGCACGAGTGTTCAAAGGTATTAAAGTTTCAGATTTTGTATTTAAATGTATGATTCATTTAAGTGTATTTTTGTATGAGGTGTTAGGCATGGGTCTGGGATCACTGGTTTTTGTTTTGTTTTGTTTTGTTTTACTATATGAATGGCTAATTGTTTCAGAATTATTTGGTATTTGTTGAAAAGACCATTTTTCTCTATTTACTTGCCTTTGCACAATTTTTCAAAAAACAATTGACCATATATGTGTGGTTCTGTTCTCAGGATCTCTGTTCTGTTCTATTGAGTTATGAGTCCCTTCATCAATACCGTCAATACCACATGGTCTTAATTTAACATAGCATTATGCATTATAGTAAGTTTTAAAATCTAGTAGTATGAGCCCTCAAACTTTGTTGTTTTTCAAAAGCGTCTGTCTATTATAATTATTCTTTACATATAAACTTTAGAATTGTCTTCTTAATATCTAAAAAAAAATATTCTGTTGGAATTCAGATCGAGAGTGCATTGATGATACAGTTTAGGTAGAATTGATTTCTTAATGATATTGAGTCTTCCAATCCATAAACACAGTTTGTTTCTCCATTTATATATGTCTTCTTTGATTGCTTCCATTAATGTTTTATTTTCAACATACTGATCCTGCACATATTTTACTAGACTCAAAACTGTGTACTTTGGTGATGTTATAAATGATACTATTCGTTTTACTTTTGCTTTACAATTTTTAATTGCCAATATATGGAAACATAACATATTTTTGTATATTGACTTTGCATACAGTGACTTTGCTAAATTCCCTTATTAGTTCTAGAAGCTTTTATTGTAGATTCCTTGGGATTTATTATGGAGATAAACATATTGTATGTAAATAGAAAAAGTTTCATTTTTTACTTTGTATCCTCTTGCCTTTTTTCTCTTTGTCACACTAGTTAGAACTCCCAGTATGATGTTAATTATTTCTAATTTCTTAAGCATTAATTCTATATTTCAGTTCTAAATGTTTTCTTTGTTCCTTTTTTATAGTTTACATTTGTCTGCTGAGGACTTCTGTTCCTGCATTTATTTTAAATTTGTTTATTTATACCTTATGGAACACAGTCATAACAGATGCTTTAATATTTTTGATAATTCTAATATCTGGGTAATCTCAGGGTTGGTATTTGTTGATCATCTCTTCTGTTGAGAATTGGTTACATTTTCTTGATTTTTTTGTATGCTAAATAATTTCAGATTTCATTCTGGACACTTTTCATGTTATGCTATTTAGACTCCAGATCCTGTTAAAATTCTCTGGAGAATATTGATTTTTGTTTGCTTCTTTGTTTGTTTTAACACATTGTCAATCCATAGCATCAGACAAGTAGTTCCTCTTGCCTTCCATGGGCAGTGTTTCCAATGTCAGTACAATTTTCAAAGCCTTTAATATGCCGCATCGTGTTTGTCTTTCAAATGTACCGCTCAGAAGTTAGTATGAGATTTTGCCACGCAGAGGTCAGTCTAAGACCTGGGTGGTGTTTCAAATTGTCTTTCAGTTTTCAAAGCCTTTGTGATACTTCCTTGGGTCTGTTCCACACATGCACAGCTTAGGAGTGAGCTCTGGCTTTGTTTCCTTCCCCAGCTCTCTTATCTAAAGAAATATGCACCAGTCTCCCCTGTCGATCCCTTTACACACACACACACACACACACACACACACACACACACACACTCCTTCATTTATTATTATAAACTAGGGTTAATAATGGAAATGTAAGATTCATTTAACATTTGAACGTCAATCAGTGTAATTCCCCAATAAACAAGACAAAATAGAAAAACCTATGTGCGTTCCCAATAAAAACTCTCAGGAAATTCAGAATAGAGGAGCACTTCCTCAACCTGTAAAAAGGCATCTACTAAGATTGACGGCTAACATTATGCTTAGTAGTAAAACACTGAATGTTTCCTCTGTCCGTTTTTTATCTTTCATCTCTCATTTCTAAATTCATCCTTTTTGCAGGCTGCGTAATAATGAAGCTGAGCCTTTTAAAATAGTTCTTCTCTGCCCTTGGGCAACGTGCTATGTGTTGTCAATACAGGGCACTGGAAGGATACCTAAAGAGAAACAGGTTTTGTCCTGGTTAAGGCTTGTCTCTCTTGCCCATATCCTATAGAGCATATTTTCTTTTTCTCCACTGTAGGGCCTCTCATGGTTTCTTCAGTGCTAGGCTTGTGTCGGCTGGAAATTTCTCTAGCAGTTGGCCACCACTCATTTTTTTTCAGCACTAAACTGAGGCAGTGGTGGCATTGCCAGGAGGCTTAGAAGAAACCTGCAACCCAACTGAGATCACTGTTCTTCACACCCTCTTCTTACCTCAGGGCACATGCGTGTACCCTGGGGGTGGGGCAATTAATGTAGCAATTAACGTAGCAAGCTAAGTGCACAGTTATTACCTGATGCAGCCAGCCCGCTGCCTCAGCCCAAGATGGACAGTTTTAACATTTAGATAACTAAATCTTGCTAATTGTGCAGCATTAGGTAGACAGTTTGGAGACCAGTCTGTTATATTGTTATAATCCAAATTAAATGCACAAGTGCTTGGGAAATTATGTTTCATATAGAAAATATAAATTAGCAATGACTATATAAGTAATATACATTTATGTATAAGAATATACATTTGTTATAAACAAATATAAAACATGCAACCATAGAATAAAGATAAATAGCACACCCCTCAGAAATAACCATAATAATATATTCCTGTACAATTTTCATCAATATATGTGAAGGTGTATTCATTTACTTATATAACTACTAGAGGACATTTAATTTGGTATAATCTTTCTGAAATGCGATATATAGCAAAAGTTTGTAAAATATTCTTATTATTGACCCAGAAACTACTTTTCTGTGAACAAATTTTAAGGAAAAAGTATGAATAATAATTTAGCTATTAGAATGACTTGACATTTTCTATCATCAAAAAGGAAAACTAAAAGAACCTAATTGTTTAATAAAAAGGAATGAGATACCACTCAGTAAATATTAGCTATTCCTATTAACAGGATGTCTTAGAGCTGAAAATAGACATCAAGTTTATTTGATCAATTCACCATTTTTAATTGAGGCCCAGAAAGAGGACACTATGTGACTCAATAGTCATTCCATGATACTTAATGTAAATATGTATCTAATTAACATTTTATCTTCTACTATGCTATTTTATCTACTGTAATAACAAACATAAATTAAAATGCCATTTAAATTGTAATTAAAATAAAATGAAGGGGAGGACGAGCATAGCTGATTTTTTTCACTTTGTTCCATTTTCCTACTTAATGGATTGTACTTACTTGGCTTCACACTCAGCCTTTCTACAGGGAAAGAATGAGTCATGCGGACTGCATTATGCAAGTTCTGGGGACAAACTCAGTTCTCTTTTAAATTAATATATTGGCCTTCTGGTTGTGGATCTATCTCCCATGTAACCTGACTGAATCGGAAGACTGACAGTACCTTCAAGTGTCCTGCATTTGTTGTAATTTAAAAACTAGCATTCTGCTCCTGTGCATCAGCTTGCTGAGCTTGATTATTGTGAAATCCATTCCCAAAAGAATGATTTCCTCTGCAGACAAAATTAGATTTGCAAGCTTGCAGGGCTGAGGGCAGATTCTAGACTAAAATTAATATACCAAGGTTGTGACTGTCATTTTGTGGGGCCTTTTGAACAGCCTGCCAGGCTTCTCCAGGGGTACACTTATCTATATTAAATGTACCCTACGCAATTATACTGATAGAACTGTGGAAGACAGAGGCTTACGCATTTTGTGCTGGAGCCAGGTTTCCAATGCAAGTCTTCTAAGTGCTGGTTCTATGCTCTTTTGATAATTCTTAAATTTTTCTGCTAAAGTAACTTAAATGGCAGACAAGAGTTAATATGCTAAAGGCATGAAATGAGGAAGAGAAGGCAGGTTAAAATTGAGGCAATTTTTAAGTCTCATTTATATTCAAACTTCTCTTACATCAACAATTTTAACATAAAAATTGCTGGGTTTACACCATCACATTTTTAAGCCAAATTAGGTTTTTAAGAAAATGAACTCTGTTTATTCTTTACATGAGTTTTCCCAAGTCTATCTTCAGCTGTGCCTTGTCCACAATTTGAGAAACACTGTATTGTTTCCTTCCCAGGCATGTTAAGACACTGTGAATGTTTGTGAGAGATTAATGTTTGTGGATGATGTTATCACTCCTAAATAGATCGTAAACTTTCATGCAGAAAGGTATGTGTATATGTATTGGGTCTGACATTTCATTACAAATAACTATTTCTCAATATGTTGAGATTCTCTTTCAGGTCTATAGCCATAAAACTGATAGCTTCCTCAGAAGTGCATATACATCTTTGCCTGTACCCATTTTAGGAAAAAAAAAATCCAAGCCCTTAAAGAAGAAAGGGCTTCATAGTTTTCAAGTCAGATGAATCATAACAAATGATATTGTATCAAATTTATAAAGATTTACAGTTTTATTTATTCACATATTTAACTTATCTTACTCTCATAACGGTTTTATAAGAAAGGAAGAATTGGAGTAGTGTGATTTCTTTACAAATGAGTATATGCAGGAATGCAGTTTCACAAGTGAATCTGGAGCCAGGGCTTCCTGTCTCCTGATTTACTCATGAACTCCTTACTAGGAAGGAATAAGGAGACCAAAACTACAGACAGTTCAGAAATGAGTCTGTATTAATCCGTTTTCACATTGCTATAAGGAACTGCTGGAGACTAGGTTATTCATAAAGAAGAGAGGTTTAATTGACTCACAGTTCTACATGGCTGGGGAAGCCTCAGGAAACTTACAATCATAGCAGAAGGGAACGCAGGCACATCTCACATGGCGGGAGGTGTGAGACAGAGCAGGAAAAACTACCATTTATAAAACCATCAGATCTTGTGAGAATTCACTCACTATTACAAGAACAGCATGGAGGAAACTGCCCCCATAATCCAACCACCTCCCTCTCTTGACACACGGGGATTACAGGTCCCTCTGTCGACACGTGGATGTGGACACAGGGCTAAACCATATGAGTCCTTGACATGTAGTATAGTAAACGGTCGTATTTGGCTGATTCTGTGAAGTTAAACATTGTTCCATTTGTTTATTGGCTACTGGACGTTCTGTTTTCAATGTAAATTGCTGCTTATATCTTTTGCCTGGTTTTCTATTAGGCTTTTTGTCCTTTGCTTATTAATTTGTGGGGCTTTTAAAATTATAGATATCAATTATTTTGTGTTTCAGTTATCCTTTTCTGATTTGTAGCTTGCCTTTAGCTTTATGTATGATGCCTTTTATTGTAAAGTTTTTTAATGTGGCTGTATTTATGATTCATTTTCTTTAAAAATTATGCTCACTTGAAGTCATAAAGTCCTCTGTTTTCTTATTTTTATATTATAATCATTTCAAAATAATTACATATAGCAAAATGAACAGGTATTAAGTATATAATTCAATGAGTTTTGATAAATACATTCATTCAAATAACTAGCACACCTATCAAGATAAAGAGTAGTGGTGCAAAATATGGGTTATGGGGCAAATCCAGCCCAGAGTTTAGTATTGTTTATGAGCTAATATCACTTTTTACATTTTTAAATGGTTGAAAAAAATCAAAATAAAATTACATAAAATTTAAATTTTAGTGTTTATAAATAAAATTGTATTGTACAAGACCACATTCATTCATTACAATATAATAGTTCAGTAGTTACAATGGAATCCTTATGGTCTGTGAACTCTAAACTATTTGTTATCTGGTTTTTTAGAGAAAACATGTCAGTCTCTAATGTAGGCCATTGCTATCACCTGAGAAAGTTTTTTTGTGTTTATATCCAGTATGAGTATTTACTTCTTCCAAAGAAACAATCATCATTATGAATTTTATCTTCACAGGTTTATATTGCCTATTCTTGCACTTGAAATAAATTGATTTATACTGTGTGTACTCTTGTGTTTGTGGTTTCTTGGCCTAGACATATTATTAAATGATATTCATCTGTTTGGTTGCATGCCTCGATAGATTGTCCCTTTTTATTACTAAGTGGTGTTCCATTATACATATATTCCATAATTTCCTTCTCCATTTATCAGATGACGGACATTTCTTGATTTTTTTGCTATTATGAATAAAGATTTAATAGACATTCTAGTATATTTTTATTTCTGCACTGTTTAACATTTTACACTACAACATGTAAAATTTGAGAGATGCCATTTCTCTGAATCCTCTCCAATACTGGATATTTTAATCTTTTAAATTTTAACCCTTCTAGTGGGTGTGTAATGGTATCTCTTCATGGTTTTAATTTGAATTTTCCTGATGACTATTAATATTGAAATGGCCTAATGTATTTGTAAGCCCTAGTATACAGTTCATATAAAGTTTCTTTTACTCATTTTTTTAATAATTGGTTGTAGGAATTATTTATAAAAGTTGGATATAAGTCATTTGTTGGACACATTTGTTTTGTGTTTGTATATGTGTGTGTGTACATTATTTTTCCAGCCTGTGTGTGCACTTTTTTTATTCTAAAATAGTGTCTTTTAATAATAAAAAATTTTAAATTTTGATGGAGTCACATTTATCATTTTTCTTGGTATTCTATGTAAGAAATGTTTGACTACCTCCCAGTCACAAAGATAGCTCTTATGCTCCCTTCTGTAATCAATCTCTAGTTAGTGTGTGTGTATGGTGTCAGGCATTGAATCAGGTTCAGCTTTTGGATACAGACATCTAGTCAATCAGAACAATCTGTTGAACAGATTTTCTTTTCCTCATTGATTTCCATCAGTGCGTATGCCTGAAAATAATAAAGATAGACAATAGAATATAGGGTACAAAGTAGGTCCCTATATAGATGGTCAGTTGATCTTAACAAAGGAAAATGTCAAGGCAAGTTGATAGTGCTATGATGCATGCAAATCATGGTGAATCTGAAAGTAATTATGCCGAATAAAAGACATCAAGTAAAGAGTATATACTGTATGGCCTTATAAACACAAAATTCTTGGAAATGCTAATAATCTACAATGACAAAAGTGGATTCATGATTGCCTAGGAAAGGGTGGAAAAAGGTTGAGGGAAGGATTATAATGGAGTATGAGAAAAGTTTGTATACAGTTCAAAAAAAAAAGAAAATGACCAATTGTACAAGTCAATATAGTGGGTACTTCTTGAAGATGGGTATTGACTCGGGAAAAGCAAAAGGGGGCCTCCAGGAGTGATGCTAATATTCTATATCTTTACCTGGAGAGTCACTAAATAGATATAAACATCATTAGCAATTTAAAGAGCTATACTCTTGGTGCATTTTCTGTGTATACATATATAAAATTCATTAAAATGCAGTGGAGGAATATCTTAAAAACTGATTGGAGTAGAAGATAAAGCCCTTTGAATCCCCTGTATTCAACACAGACACACAAAAATAATGTTAAAACACCCCTAAAACATTATCCTCATTTATTTTATGCTACACACTTCTTTCAATATGAAAAGAAAGAATGTCTGTTAAAGCACTACGGATTTTTCATTCAAGCCGTCATACATATCAGTATCATTTATCATGCCCGTCTTCTTAACTTACTATATACTTTGCATATTGTCCCTGCCAGTACTATTTCACAAAATTATTTTAATGATACCATATTTATTCTACTGGATATCTGAATCTTACTCAAACCTATAACTTTGAAGAACATTTAACTCAATTCATTATTTTGTTACTGTCAATATATTTATAGCTCTGCCTTTGACAATGTCACTTTTATTTCTTAAGTATGCATGCCTAGAAATTGAATAACGTGGTAAAATTGTGTGGAATTATTTGGCGTATATTATTTGATATATATTATCAACCTGTCTTACAGAAATTAATACAGTTATCTATATATATTATCATTCTTGTTTACCTCACCTTTAAGATTTATTAAAATATTATTTACCATTTCACAGGTAAATAAGTATATGACTTATTTTATTTGAATTTTTATTTTTAGTATGGTTGACCAAGTTTAATAGCTACTATATATATATAATGAATATTATATATATAATATTCATATAATATTCACAGTGAAACTTCTGCATACTTTTCTATGGGATATTAATCTTTTTTGTATTAACTTCAAATCACCATTTACGTATTTTTATTTTGGTCAGCTAAAATTCTTTTTCTCTTCTCCATTGTCCTTATTTTCCCTTCTGTAGTAAGACAAAAACATCCTAATAGTGTGCTGATGAGGGTTTTTTCAGCAGAAAAAGGATTTTGTGTCACTTTTCTTAAGAGTTACTTCGAATTTCCCAATTATAATTTTGAATCTTCTGTATTTCTTGATTCTACTTTTCTCTAAAATAGCCTTGCCATTTTTTTTACTCTTAACTGATTGGAATCTGTTTTTCTAAATCCTAGGGTATATGTAGGAAGAATGAGACACCTCTCCTGGCTTCTGATGTTCCCATCCCTGAGGAGGAACACCTATTACTCTAATACTCCCGCCTCTGTTTCACACCTTTACTCACTTTCCCCAGGAAGGTGGGATGACTTTTCTGATGATTAGTTGTGAAAAAGAAATGGTTCTCTTTTTTGTTGTTCTTTTTGAGAGTTAGCATATTTTAGAAACAATATATCCTTGGTTATCCTTGCCTATGAAATTCTACCTCTACTAATAGAGACCTACAGGGATCCAGCATTTTCTATGGTTCAAGTGGCAATTTTGTCTAATGCTAGAGCTTGGTATTAAGAAATTTATTTGCCCCAAAATATACCTTGCCAAACAACCAGTATCTGGTGGTTTGGACCAGGGTTATGAAGAACTTAACAGCAAAAGTAGATTTAAGTACAAAAGTGTACTTACAAGTTTGGGACTTTCCATGAGGAGAGAGGATTTTGACCTCAGGAGCATGCAGTGACATTTATTTTGCAATATTTTATAGTTTACAGTTTATGTGTAACTTTTAACTGTAGTGATCCCAGCAGGCAGCTGTGGTTCCTGACCTCTGACAATGTAAGATTTTAACTTCCACTGGTGCATATACAGAAGAGTTGTTTACAAATAAGTGAATAACTTTAGAAGAGCACAGATTCATTCCCCTGGAGATCATGCTGCTAGTGCTAGGCCCTAAGCAAAAGGCAAATGCCTCAGGAAAGGCTGTCTTCTGAAAAATGTGAGCAAAGTGAGGCTCCACAAAGCCCTGGGTCCTATAATCCTAAGTAATTGTAGGCTGGATAGTTTGAGCAACCTTAGCAACTGCGAAAGCCACTTAAGAATCAGAAAATATTGGTGCAGCTTAAAATTGAACACAAAGGGGAAGCTTTTTTCAAGAAAGTCATGATATGATTATAGGGAAAAGAGAATATTTTCATATAAAGGTATTTTAGACACAGGGGATGGGATAATAATTGGTTATTTTCACAGTTTTCCAGCTTGTCCACATGCTTGAGGGTTAACTCTCACCAAATGGTCTCAAGCTCTCCCTGGATTTGTTAAATGTATAAGTTCTGAGCAGGGCTACAAATACCCATCTTCTAAATTGGAGCTTTCCCTTTAAAGGGGTGGTAGATTTCACTCATGAACCAAAAAATAAAAAATAAAAATAAAAATAACGGGGGAAGAGGGTCTTAGCATAAAAATAATATTGCATCTAAATATACTGAGAAAGAGAAACAGTTCAATTGAATTATTGCAAAGCTAACAACTAAGAATACAGTTTTAAAATCTGGGTTTGGAACACCCTGTTTCTAAGAATCAAATCTGCTTAGAAAATAAAGTGATTTAGAAAGAATGCTTCAGTTTTATAACCCTAACAAGAGCAGAAGAAAAATGAGACTAAAAGTAAAATAAGTTAATTAAACTGGAATAAGAGAGAGAAGAGGACAGGTTAGAAAACTATGTGGCACCAAATGATAATTTGAAGGTCAGGATCCTGGATTCAGAAAAGTGTTAATTGCACTATTAAAGCTGCTGAAAAAGAGTAAGTACTATGTGTCCCCCTCAAAAAGATCTTAAGGAATGGGAGGACTTGAGAAGATATAGGCACTGTATCTGAGAAACTCTAAGATAACATTAAAAAATATTAGAGCAAGGCATACAGAAGAGAAGATGTATTAAGGGGAAGGTGAGCAAGGCCACGGTAAATGTTTAGGACCTGGTTCAACAAACTGATAGGAAGATGTATTCTGGGTGAGATTATCAAAATGTAGGAGCTAAAGGTAGACAAGCTTTGTTAGAACAGTAGGATTTTGGTAGATACAAAATTTACTGATTTCTTATTTCTTGCTTGGAATGATTCTTTAAGCTAAAATCTAGAGTATTAGGTTGTAAAAATTATTTTGGCAAAAACAAAGAAAAAGTAAAGGGAGAAAGGCAACTAATTTCAGCAAACACTAATGGTTTAATATGTGATATAGAGTGAAGAAAACTAACTTGATATGGAAGTTAAAATGCTAGAAATTCAATGGAATATTCCTGGGAAGAAGAGAAAACAGCTGAGGGATGCAGAACAGTAGAGGCATCTTATTACTACCCAGCAACATACAAAAGCTAAAAACAAAAACAGAAGGAAATGTTACATGAGACCTAAGACCTGTGAAAACCCAAGAAAAGCATTGTATACAGAGCTCTTGGTACCTACTTTTACTGTAAGGTCACATGCTCAAAAACATGGACCACAGCTTCAGTTCAGGAATCTGCAGAGGACAGTTCTCCAACTGAAACAAATGTGGGGGTTATATCTTCCCTATGAGGAAGGTTTTTCAACCTTAGGCAACTCCATTGCAATAGATAGTGAAAACACATGGTCAGAGGTCCCTTAGTGTAGAACTGTGGTGTTAAAGTAGATATACAAATACAAAAAAAACAAAACCAGATCCATGAAGAACAACAAGGAAATGAAAATAAAGAGATTTTTAATATACTGAGTAGAAAAAAAAATAGTAAAAGCGATTCGAATAAGACCTGCTGACTAGAATTGCCATTCTTGTTCTTAACTTTTTCTTTTCTTTTCTATTCTTTCCTTTTCTTTTCTTTTTTCTTTTCTTTTCTGTTCTTTTCCCTTGTGTATTTGTCTAATTCCCTGAAGAATTAATAGATATCTGGGATCAGGCTAACATACCTCTTAGCATTCATATCAGTGGACAACTCAGTACCTCCCACATAGCAAGTATTCAACAAGCAAACATGGGATATTAGGAAGAGAGGACTAACATTGGAGAAAATCTGAATTCTCATGTCTTTTCTATCACAATTGGTAAAAGAAATTAAAACTACCTAGACCTTAGTTTTCCTATCAAAAGATAAGAATGTTAATACCTGCTTTACACAATTCTTTTATTTTGTTGAGAAAGTTGAATCAATCATAGATGGGAAAGTATTTTTAAAATCTAGATATTATGTATGTTACAACAGAAGAACATGAAAATAGAAAAAAGGAATATATGTTCATTGGAACTATTCATTTTTCCCATCTATAAATCCCCCAAATCAGGACTCATTTTCCTACTAAGACCTTCCTTAATGCTTTCTTCACATCCTTATTCCTCAGACTGTATATTAAAGGGTTCAGCATGGGGATCACCGTGGTGTAGAACACAGAGGACACCTTCTCCTGGTCCAGGGAGTTACTTGAAGGGGGCTTGAAATACATGAAGGTAATGGACCCAAAGAAGATCACCACAGCCATGAGATGAGAGCTGCATGTTCCAAAAGCTTTGGACCGGCCCTCTGAGGAGCGGATGTGAAGGATGCTGTAGAGGATGAAGGCATAGGAGACAGCAACAGCTAGGGTGGGCACCAAGGTGTTAAACCCCGCAATGATAAAAAGTAGAAGCTCATTGAGGTGTGTGTTGGAGCAGGAGAGATTGAGGAGGGGAAGAACATCACAGAAGTAATGGTTGATAATGTGGGATTTGCAAAAGGACAGTTTCATCATGGCACTTGTATGAGTCAAGGCAGAGAGAAAGCCCAAGAAGAAGGCAGCCAGCACTAGCAGTGAGCAGACCCATGAGGACATGATCGCATTATAAAGCAGTGGGCTACAGATGGCAACATAGCGATCATATGCCATGGCAGTCAGGAGGTAACCCTCAGCCACCACAAAGACCACAAAGAAAAAGAGCTGGACCATGCACTCAGAGTAAAGGATTGTATTCTTCTTTCCTAGGAAGTTCACCAGCATTTTGGGAGTAATGACAGAGGAATAGCAGAAATCGACGAAGGACAAGCTGCTGAGGAAATAGTACATGGGGGTGTGAAGTAGAGGGCTGACTGCAATCAGGAGAATCATGCCCAGGTTGCCCACTACTGTGACCACATAGATTCCCAGGAACAGGAGGAAGAGGGGCAGCTGGAGCTCTGCTTGCTGTGTTAAACCATCTAAGACAAACTGAGCTGCCATAGAATAATTTTCCATGGTCATTCTTCTTTAGGCATTTCTGTGAAAATAGAAAGTATGAATTACCTTAACATGGACCCTCACTGCTCTTCCAAACAAAACCAAATTGCATAAGGGAGGTTGACAGCAGCTAACAGACTGAGTCATAGTTTTCATTGTCTCTAAACTTGATACCTCTGCTTTGTCTCCCTAAAGTTCCCTGGGCCTTCTCCAAGTTGGTCCAGAATTTAAGTTACAAAAAAGTACTTCCTGACTGACTCAGTAACATTTGCCTCCTGAATTTGGTAGAAAAAAAGCAAATGTTTACTTTGTGGGGAGAATTTCTGATAGCCAATTTGTCACAGTTAAACAGTAGAAGAGATTGAAGGAAGATTCAATCACTTTTTCAATTTCCCCAGTTTTCTCCTACTCAAAGGCCTGCACATATTTCTCACAATATCTGAAAACAAGGAGAGGATGACGCCTCAGCCTCGGAGAATTGAAAGTGTCTATTACTTCCAACTGGAGTGATGGTGGGCATGGGGTTGGGTGTAAGGCATCTACTCATTATGCTGAATAAAAATACCTCCAGTGTAAAAATACTGCAGAAGTGGGAGTCTCCACATAATACCTCTGGCCCTCTGCTAAGCTGGAGAAGGGTGGGGGAGGCAAAAGCTTCATCATTGGAATCACTGATGAGAACAATCTCTTGTAACCCAGGTGTTCATCTATAAAGTTCACAGAGTCTTATCGGACCTCAACTATTGCCAGAAGAGTTGGCTGGCTGGAATCCTAGCAGTGAACTACTTCCCCCCTGACTTACGAGATCCGCACACCCCACAGAACAGACCTTACGGTGGCAGGAAAAGGTGCTTCTGAAGGTGTCTGAGAAGAATGTTGCTATGGGTGTAAATCTTGAACTTTCCAAAGCGTGGTACCCTTGGTGGTTTGGGCCCTGGATACAAAGAAATAAAAGAGAATGCTGTACTTTTCCCAGAAGAAGCACTAGAATCTAGTTGGTCCACCCTTTTCAACATGAACTGGCTCCCTGGTGGAGCCATTTCAGAGGAGTGTGTGTGTTGTCAGGTGCCAGTTATTCATTTAAGGCTCCAAATAGTCCAGCTAGAAAGAAACCTGTTCAGTTTTGCAAACTCAGCACTTCCAATGTCTATTTGACAACAGAAATATTGAATGAGCTTAATGAGGTGAACTATAGTCTACTCAGCAATGAATGGAAAGGTTTGGGTATCAAAGTAGGTGTATTTCAAGGGTTGACTTTACTGCAGACCAGTTTGTAACACTGGGCAAGTCATTTCATGTAAACTTCATTGTTCTAATCTGTGAAGTGGGATACCTGTTTCAAAGGTAAAATGGTAAATGTAAAGATTCATTATCTAAAAACACTTGTCAACATTTCATGTGGCACATATTGTTAAATACAATTGAACAGAGAAAAGTACATAACATCAGGAGATGAAAATACACTACCTTTGTATGAAGAAAAGACAGACACATGTGTTTCTTTGCCCTAGGTCCTTCACTTTGGTAAGAATAACCAAAATGTTTTAAACATTTGGTGCTGGTTAGGTTTTAAAATGTTTGTTTTCAGATTTGGAAATTTTGAGAGGGATTTAAAGTGTTTGGCCTTTTTTGAAGGAGTTGGGGGCACTGAAGTGTTTTCATCTCCAAGGGACATGTGCTTATGAGGCCAGGAGGAAACACAGCAGAGCTATGCAAGCTGAATGGACTCTTGATCCATCTCCTAGTGACCTCAGAACATTTTTCTTTCTTTCTTTCTTTTTTTTTTTTTTTTTGAGATAGAGTTTTGCTCTGTCGCCCAGGCTGGAGTGCAATGGCGCCATCTCGGCTCATTGCAACCTCTGCCTCCCAGATTCAAGCAATTCTCCTGTCTAAGCCTCCTGAGTAGGTGGGATTACAGGCATGCACCACCAAGCTCAGGTAATTTTTGTATTTTTAGTAAAGACAAGGTTTCACCATGTTGGCCAGGCTGGTCTCAAACTCCTGACCTCAGGTGATCCACCCACCTCGGCCTCCCAAAGTGCTGGGAGAACATTTCTTTAGATGGATGAGAAGGTAGGAATTTATGTTTAATACTCTGTCCAAAATGAATACTCTACCTGGGATTGTATCTTTATCTCTTAGAAATTTGAGCCAGGCGTGGTGCCTCATCCATGTAATCCCAGAACTTTGGGAGGCTGAGGTGAGCGGATCACCTGAAATCAGGAGTTCAAGATTAGCCTTGCCAACATGGTGAAACCCTGTCTCTACTAAAAACACAAAAATTATCTGGACGTGGTGGTAAGCATCTGTAATCCTAGCTACTCGGGAGCCTGAGGCAGGAGAATCGCTTGAACCTGGGAGGCAGAGGTTGCAATGAGCCAAGATCGTGACACTGCACTCCAGCGCGGGTGACAGAGCAAGACTCCATCTCGAAAGGAAAGAAAAAGAAGGAAGGAAAGAAAGAAAGAAAGAAAAGAAAGAAGGAAAGAAAGAAGGAGGGAGGGAGGGAAGGAAGGAGGGAAGGAAGGAGAGAGAGAGAGAAAGAAAAAAGGAAGGAAGGAAAGAAAGAAAAGAAAGAGAAAAAGGAAAGAAAGAAAAAGAGGAAAGAAAAAGAAAAAAAGAAAGAAATTTGTATGTGTAGGATGGTGTGCAAGAAGACAAGTAACACTAATAAATACGTAAGCCAGAAGAATTTCAGGGAAGCAAACACTTCAGTCATATGGAAATTCCTGCACCAGAGCTGGTTGAACTTAGACTAGGAATCATTCCTGCAGATTTTGTGACCCAGGTTATAAAGAAGTGACAAGGCAAAATCAATAGAAGAGGAGAAGGGAGGACATAACCTAGAGGAGAGAACAGTGGGGCAGGTGCTCCTCAGTAAAGAGAAAATGTTGCACAAGGGTCAGCACGGTTGTTAATCGCCAATTGCCCTTGCATTAGATATAATATGATGGTCATAAAGGAGATGGGACACTTACCTTGGTCCTGCACAGAAACAGAATTTCTTAGGAATTGTTCACTTTGCTCAGGTCGCAGATCCCTGTAATAGCCAACAAAGAACAAAGTCTTTCCCACTACCTTATACACACATTTATATGCCAAGGGCTGAATTATTTGGTTGGCTAAAAGTAAAACATCAAAATTTATTAAATAGTACAAACAACTCTTGGACCTTGAAGCAGATCATGATATCCAGCTCCCCCAATCTTAAAAGCAAGAGGGCGGCATGATATGCAGCTTTCATCTGAGGTTTAGTGAGCTTAGGGATATCATTAGGAATAAAAACACACCCATACACACACAAATCCCCCAAGACCTATTGAGCCCAGAGATTACTGGTGTGCCCAACATTTAATAACCCTCTGCAGAAATGATCACATCATGTCCTGGGCCCCCTATTGCCGTTTATCCCAAGAGTGTTGGAGGTCCTGAAAGAAGTTTCTTATTTTATTTTTAATGTTACCAATAAGGATTCTGTAACACAGAGGAATTAGATCAATGATTCCCAAAATTGATTCCGAAGTCAGTTGCTGGTTCTTGACTAAAAGTTCATCAATGAGTAAAAATTGTTTTAAACTGAAGAAAAACAAAGACAACATAATATTTTTTCTAAAACTAAACTTATTCAATTCAAAGGCTGTCCTTTTCTGAGGTTGTCAATTTTACCTCTTTAAATGTTTTGGGATTCGAAATATTCTTTCATTTTATTGTATGGTTCTGACAGTAGATAATAGTTATGTCTTTTGGTTGCTTGCTTATTTATTTTTACATTGTATTTGAATGCCTTTACTTGGAAAACCAAATTTTTGGCAACCCTATTGTGGTCTCTCATTGCAATTATATTGTCTTGGGGCTGGGCGCAGTGGCTCACGCCTGTAATCCCAGCACTTTGGGAGGCCAAGGCAGGTGGATCACTTGAGGTCAGGAGTTTGAGACCAGCCTGGCCAACATGGTGAAAACCCATCTCTACTGAAAATACAAAAATTAGCCTGGCGTGTTTGCACATGCTTGTAATCTCAGCTATTCCGGAGGCAGGAGAATCGCCTGAACCTGGGAGGTGGAGGTTGCAATGAGCCGAGGTTGTGCCACTGCACTCCAGCCTGGGTAAAAGAGCAAGACTCCATCTCCAAAAAAAAAGGAAATTATATTGTCTTGGGAAAGCCAAATTCTGAGAACTGTAAAGTTGGTTACCATAGATAAGCAACATAGAATGTCCTGGTTGTCCTTCCTGTGAAAGAGTTCAGATCAGAAATCTTCTACGATCCTGAGAAATATCTTCCATGGAATCTTTTCCACTGAACCAATTTTTAATTACCAGAATTCAGTAATCGTTCAGCCTCTGCTCCTGTACTATTCCCTGTGACTGCAGTTTATGTCACTCAATGGCTTAAAAAGCTTTAATCTATTCCACCCTGTCCAGGGTACCTCCCATTCCAGGTCACATGAGTTCTATGCTTTCCTGATGTAGAGCCACCGTCAAAGGGGATGTAGCTCTTAAGAGCCACCTCAACATTTTTGTATTGGTCCCGCCAGAAATAAACAGGATTTCCCCAGTGACTCACTTCTTTAATGAAGTCAGCTATAAAGCATCCACAGATCTCTAGTAATGTTTACACATAAAAAATATGTTAATATAGTTGATTCAGAACTGGATTTACTCAGTATCTTGTTTTAGTTTCAAATCTGCCCCAATACTAATATCATCAATTATAACAACTACTCCTTTTTATAGTATCATAATTAGTAATACTGCTTATAGATGCTCACTGTGTAGTGGGCATTGAACTAACCATATATATATATATTATATATAATTATATATATAATGTTCATTTAATTAAAATAAATATGTGTCTCTAAGGAAGTCATTGAGACTCTAAGACTTAGATTCCTTATCAATAAAATAATCAGAATTAAGTAAATTATTTTTCAAATTTCTTAGTGCTAGAACTTTTATGATGAGAAAAACTTATACTAGAAGCAGAAGGATTTTTTTTGTAGTTCAACTATTCTTTGATTCAGAATTCATGGTAAAAATGTTTTCAATTTCGTACCAATAATTGTTTATGATGAAAAGAGAGAAATAATCCTGGTTGGCATTTAGGAGACTCAGACTTTTATCTCGGTTTTATAGTTACTATCTGTGGAAAAGGCAATTTAACCTTGTCAAACTTTAATTTTCTCATCTGTAAAATATTCCTCATTTGCCTCACAGGGAAGTCATAAAGTAATATATATTACAAAATGCAGTTTGAGGCTGGACATGGTGGCTCACATCTGTAATCCCAGCACTTTGGGAGGCCAAGGCAGGCAGATCACCTAAGGTCAGGAGTTTGAGACCAGCCTGACTAATATGGTAAGACCCCATCTCTACTAAAAATACAAAAATTAGGCGTGGTGGCAAGCACCTGTAACCCCAGCTATTCAGGAGGCTGAGGCAGAAGGATCGCTTGAACCCGGGAGGCGCAGGTTGCAGTGAGGGAGATCATGCCACTGCACTCCAGCCTGTGACAGAGAGATTCCATCTCAAAAAAAAAAAAAAAAAAAAAAAAGCCATTTTAACTGGAGCGAGATGATATTTCATTGTAGTTTTGATTTGCATTTTTCTGATGATCGGTGATGTTGAGCACCTTTTCATATACATGTTGTCATTCTTATGTCTTCTCTTGAGAAATTTATTTCAAATGTTTTGCTCTTTTTAAAATCAGATCATTAGATTTTTCCCATAGAGTCATTTAAGCTCCTTATATATTCTGCTTATTAATCCCTTTTCAGTTGGATATTTGGCAAATATTTTCTTCCATTCTGTGGGTTATCTCTTCACTTTTGTTGATTGTTTCCTTTGCTGTGCAGAAGCTTTTTAATATGATGTAATCCCGTTTGTCCATTTTTGCTTTGGTTGTCTGTGCTTATGGAGTATCCCTCAAGAACTATTTGCCCACTCCAATGTTCTGAGAATTTCCCCAATGTTTTCTTTTAGTAGTTTCATAGTTTAAGGTCTTGTATTTAAGTCTTTAGTCCATTTTGATTTTATTTTTGTATATGGTGAGAGACAGGGGTCAAGTTTCATTCTTTTGCGTATGGATATTCAGTTTTCCAGCATCAAGTATTGAACAGACAATCCTTTCCCCAATGTATGTTGGCTCTTTTGTCAAAAATGAGAATATGTATGGATTTGTTTCTGAGTTCTCTATTCTGTTCCATTGGTCTTTGTGTCTGCTTTTATACAAGTACCATGCTCTTTTGATTACTATAGCTTGTTGTATAATTTGATTCCTCCAGTTTGGGAGGTAATGTGGTTCCTCTAGTTTTGTTCTGCTCAGGATAGCTTTGGCTATTCTATATCTTTTGTGGTTCCACATACATTTTAGGATTGTTGTTTCATTTCTGTGAAAAAATGCCAGTGATATTTTGATAGGGATTGCACTGAATTGGTAGATTGAGTGCAATGGGTAGTATGAACATTTTAACAATATTGATTTTTCCAGTCCGTGAACTTGGAATAACTTTTTATTTGTGTGTGTGTGTGTGTGTGTGTGTGTGTGTGTGTGTGTGTGTTCTCTTTCTTTCATCGATGTTTTATAATTTTCATTGTAGAGATATTTCACTTCTTTGGTTAATTTCTAGGTATTTTATTTGAGTTGTAGGTATTGTAAATAGGATTACTTCTTAAATTTCTTTTTCAGATTGCTCACTGTTGGCATGTAGAAATGCTACTGATTTTGTATGTCAACTTTATATCTTGCAACTTTACTGAGTTTGTTCAGTAGTACAAAATGAATTTAAACTTTTCTGAACAATTTGAACTTCTCTGAAAAGTTCAAAAAGTCCAGAAAAAAAGTTCAAATTGAATTTGAACTTTTCCAAATCAGTTCTAATAGTTTTTTTTGGTGGCATCTTTAGGCTTTTCTAAACATAAGATCATGTCATCTGCAAGCAACGATAACTTGACTTCTTCCTTTCTAATTTGGATGCCCTTTCTTTCTCTTGTCTGATTGCTCTAGTTAGGACTTCCAAACAATTAGTTCTGATTTATGGGAACTTGTAAAGTGGAAGAAAAAGAGAAAGGGAATAAAAGAGATTATAGGAAAGGGGGAGTAGGCATGTTCAGATAGTGGAAAGGATAAAAAGAGATGGAATAGAAAGTATCAGAAGGTGATGAAATGAATGGATCATAAAACCTCAGTGTTAGCAATGAACAAAGGGATCAGTTTGGTCATATTCTTAGCCAGCATTTGATTCTTCTCAGAAATATTCCAGACAGAATGGTTGAATATTCTGTCTGGAATATGTACTTAAATCCCTACTGCTGGATAGTTCATAAATTCCCAAGATAGCTAATTATTTTTTGATAGTTCTGATTTTTGGAAGAGTCTTCTTTAGCCTACTTGTGCTCTGTGGCAAGAACTACTAAAACCTCAATAACTAGCCTACAGCCCTTCTGTGTGTAACTCCTATGTGTAACTTAATTATCCTCTAATATCTGTGAGCAATTTCTATCCTCTTGGCTTTATTTTCTAAGACATTTTATGATCTGAGATTCTATGATGTATTTTTCTCCCTGTTTATTGCCTTTCTTTCAGGCTAAAACCTAAATCTAATGAAGGCAAGGAGTTTGTGACTTTTGTTCATCTCTTTATCACCAGTATGAGGAATAGTGACAGGTATGTAGTGGGCATTCAATGAGTATTCCTTAAATGAATGACCCAAAGAATAAACAAATCAATGAATGTGTGATTTCAAGTTGCTTCATCATGGCCATGCGTCTCAGAATATATTTCAGAATGCCAGTGGCCTCTTAAATAGTAATATCAACAAAGTAAATTACTTTCAAGTGGACACAGTCTAATTGCTGTTGTGCAAGTGATAACTAGAATGTTCCTCATTCTAAATACTAAAATGTAGCTAATGCAGACAAGGTAACAGTAACTTTCTAGGTAGTTATGCTTTTTACTTATATTGTCAAAAATCCTTAATTCTCTGGAGTTAAATAAAGTTTTTCCCACTCTCTCCATTTTTATAGAAGTATAGAATCTTATATTACCCATGTACATTTTTAAAATCTCATTAAATGCGACTATCACTCCAGCCTTTAAAAGTCTTTGTGAATCATGCTCTGTCATCCATTAAATCAACTATTTCAAGGCTGAGGATCGTGACTCAGGCTTCTAATTCCAGCACATTGGGAGGCCAAGTTTGGAGGATTACTTGAGGCCAGAAGTTCAAGACCAGCCTGGGCTTTCAAAAGTAATATGTTCAATAAATTGTTTTTAATGTTTATTTGCCCTTCCTCTTCTGTCATCTCCCATTTCTCTAATACATTTTCGAAGATTATATTGACCATCAGAAAATTTTGTTTCATAATCTCCAAAAATGTCTTAATCATTCTCTAATATAAAATATACATTTTTAAGTGATGATAATTTTTCTCTCTCCGAGAGAGACAGAAACTTACAAAGATCCTATAACAACTTTTTATATGGTTTATTTTTTCTGGCTGCCAATGAGAACCCTCTTTGTCAGGATGACTGCCTTCCCCTAGTCATCTTCTTCAGTGCATTTTTCACATCCTTGTTCCTCAGGCTATAGATTAGAGGATTCAGCATGGGGATTATTGTGATGTAGAACACAGAAGACACCTTCTCTTTTTCCATAGTAGTGCTGGAAGGGGGCTTGAAATACATGAATGTTATAGACCCAAAAAAGATGCCCACAGCCAAGAGATGGGAGCTACAAGTGCCAAAGGCTTTGGATTGCCCCTCAGTGGAATGAATACCAAGGATACTAGAGAAAATGAAAGCATAAGAGATAAGGACCGCCAGTGTAGTTGCTAAGGTATTAACTCCTCCAATAATGAACAGCAGAATCTCATTGATGTGGGTGCTGGAGCAAGACAGAGTCAATAAGGGGAGAATATCACAAAAATAATGACTGACCGTATGAGACCTACAGAATGACAACACTGACATGCGGGTAGTATGGACTGTGGCCCACAGAAAACCCAGTGAGTATACCACAGCCATCATTATGGAACAGACCCTGTGGGACATGACAATATTGTAAAGCAGTGGGCGACAGATAGCAACATAACGGTCATATTCCATGGCTGTCAGAAGGTAGCCTTCTGCAATTACAAAAATAAGGAAGAAATAAAGTTGAGTAATGCATTCCAGAAAGGAGATAATGTTCTCCTCTGGAACAAAGTTCACCAGCATCTTAGGGGTAATGACAGAGGAGTAGCAGAGATCAATGAAAGACAAATGACTGAGAAAATAATACACTGGAGGGTAAAGTTGAGAACTGAGAGCAATTAAGAAGATCATGCCCAGGTTCCCCACCACTGTGACCACATATATTCCAAGGAACAGGAGGAAGAGTGGCAGTTGAAGTTCTGGGCGTTGTGTCAAGCCTGCCAGGATAAACTCAGCCCCTGAAGAATGGTTTGAAGTAGCCATGTCTTTTAAGGTATTATGTGTAATAAGAAATAAGAGAAAAGAGAGACATTAGATTTATTTTCTGATTCCCAAAGCAGAATGACATGCCCCATGTTGGTTGCTTCCATTCCTGAGAGCCTCATCTGTCCCATGATTGCCTCTTTTCAGGGACCTCTTACAAGATCAAGGGCAAATATTATGAGTATAACCAAGAACCTTGATTTCACCCAAAACCCTGTTGAATGCTCCTCTTTTAGTAAGAGTCCTCCCATTTTGTTTCCAGGCTTATGCCCATAATTACCTCACTGCTGGAGGAAGCACAAACTTTCCAAATCTAATTAGTTTGTCATTGCTACCATTAAAACAACACTGCTTACCTTCTTTATCTGAGCATATGCCAATAGAACCTTCAGACTTTGTTACAACATGGCTTCTAATCCAGCTCTGATGATATAAAAGTAGTCCATTTCAGTTTCCTTACCCATCAACATGAATCAACATAATTAGCATTTGCTAAAACTAGGAAATAAGAAACATAAAAGACGTCTATAAAGAGACCTTAGTACAAAAAAAAAAAGTATGGAAATGGTTCTAATCAATTCTGACCCTCATTAGCTCACTTCTGTTCTTTGAATGGAAAACTTGAGTGGGCCAGGAGATTCTTGTACTCAGTGTGGATGTGGTTGACAGAAATGTTGTGCCAAGGGCTATCCTGAGATTCTAGTTTAGATCTTTCCTGTTCCAGAAACAGCAAAGAAGCAAAGAAGTAAGGCTGACTTTCAGGTGTAAGACCTGAACCATCAGCAACTCAGCGCTTCCCTCCTTGGCCCTTTCCTGCTATCCATTATTCATGGCCAAACTCTCACTGACCTTTCTCTTTCAAAGCTGTGAGATCTGAACTGGAGATTTCTTATTCCCTGACTTCGTTTCCCCTAAAGTTTAAGCAAAGGATTCAGGGTGTGTTGCTTTCAGCTGAAACACTGTATATTACCTAAGACATCAGGTTTCATAATTTTTTTCCAAAGTGAGAAAAAATGTCAAGGGAGGAAAAACTCCATACATAGAGTGAGATGTTGTTTGCTTTTATTTTGCATAAAAACATATTTTTATGATCACAAACAAAAATTTATAAAAATTTGCTTCTACAGTGTTTTAAGGGTACTCAATATGTATATCGATTTAAAAGCTGACAGGTGGGGTGTTATCTCCAAGAGCACTTGAGAAGACAGCCATGTTTCTGAATTAGGGGAATTAGAGAATACTCTAAGAGAAAGAGAATCAGAGTTACCAGAATGCAACTCTAACAAGCCCTGTTACGGGAAGTTCAGGAATTCTAGATTTTTAGCCTTACTTGGAAAAATATTCTACCAAATGACTGAATTAGCCAAAAAGAGAATTTGTTGAAGAAAAATAGCAGAGAGCTTATTTAGAGAGAGACAGTACACTCTGGAAAGGTGAGACAGAGCTGGCTGCTGAAGGGGAGTGAGCCAGCAGCAGCTTGAGAGTTCTGCACTGGGTTTTTGAGATGATGTCCGACACTTTCTTGAAGTTCCCACCTCTGTCGTGAGCCTCTGCCTTTTCCTTTGTCCAGGTTCCTGCTTCTGCCTTAAGTCCCCTTCTCTTCCCTGCCTAGTTCCCATGCCAGGCTTGTGGAACCCTCCCTTACTATTGGCTGATGTGCATGCATGGACCCTGTGTTGGATATGAATCCTGCCTAACAGCCGCATTGCCACCCAAGGGAGGCTGCTTAATAATAGGTCTAGTGATTGAAGCACATTCTTTCCTATATCCGTAACATTTCTATATTGATATATTCCCAAATTATTTTCATCACAGAACTATCACAAATAATGCCTAGAGTATTTCTTTTAGAAAAGACTATCTCAATAAAGTAGAAAGGTTAAGAATTTAAAATTACGTGCTATGGAATGAGAACTTTACCCTCTTTATTACTCATTAAGCTAAGCATAATGATATATAACATACTACTTTTTTTACTTTAAATTCTGGTGTACATGTGCAGAACGTGCAGGTTTGCTACATAGGTATGCATGTGCCATGGTGGTTTGCTGCACCCCAAATGCATTAGGTTTTAAGCCCCAAATGCATTAGCTGTTTGTCCTGATGCTCTCCCTCTACAAATTTATACCATGAGATTGTATTTATACTTTCTTCTCCCACAGACATCAAGAGTAATGACTACATTTATCATCTGGTGTGGTAAAGACAATCATCTCTTCCTTGCTATGATCTGAATTACTCTAAGTTTTTTAAAAGTGTTACCCTACCTCTGCCGATTCTCCTTTCTGTGAGCCATCTGTACTAGGAAGTTGTTCCCACATACTGAGGCCTTATTCTCAATCTTGTTCATGGATTAGTTTACTGTTCACTTGAGTATAGCTGTAATCAAAGTTTTATAACCTTATTGTATTGTGAAATTTAGCTTAAATACATATATAAAAATGTAGAAAATATATATACTTCCACCTACTATAAAATGAGCAGCTTTAACCACCATGCAGATCTATAAATAGAATATCACCAGCACCCCAGAGCCCTCTATGTGCCCCCTTTTTATTGTAGCTCCATCCATCCTTCCATTCTCTATCCTGATTCTATTGCAATCACTCTCTGGTTTTCGTTATAGCTTCATCACCTAAGTGTGGCTTCATTGGTTATCTGCATCTAGCCCAGAAAAGGGCAAAGAGAAAGTTAAAAGGGAACAATGTAGCCCTGGAATAGCATCCATCATCTCTAAAATAGTCACATGCCACACGGCACTGCAGGAGACACTGGGAAATGTGTGTTCTGGAAGAACAGTGAACAGCAACAATCTCTGACACACTGGGCTAATCATATTGGTGCCTACCAATTATCAATGGTTGGTTATGTGTCTTTTTGAGTCTTGACTTGATGACATTTTGCTGGCTCCTTTCTTTCCCATACCCCTACTTCTATTTTACAGAATGAGGTGTTGCCCCATTCTAGAATGGCAAATAAAAGCCAATTAGAGCTTTAAATCAAATGTGTTATAATTTTATCTTTTGACAAAACTAATGTACATTCACTGTGGATTATGTGTTTAATCAAAGCTTAATGGATAATGCAGAATAATTACAGTACTTTACAGAATGGCATACAAATTCGGAATAAAATGCAGTTTCTAAAACTTCTTTGACCATTTCCCACAGAGGGACCTTGCATTTATTGGCCATGTGTCTTCTTGGGTATTAACTTAATGACATTTTGCTGACTCCTTCCTCTCCCACGCCCCTACTCTCTAAATTACTAGTACTTACACATTCAAAATTCTCCTTTTTAAAAAATTTGGCTGAAAAGTCTCCCCTCTGTTTAACCCACTCACCTTTCAACTATACCAGCTCAACAGGCCTCCTCTTTCCCAACAAAAAGAACCTTCAAATGATTTTCCTAAACATACACACAAGATAAATGGAAAAACAATACCCTACCTGAGAAAAAGTCATGTTTCATTTCAGAACTAAGCAGTCAACATTCAAAATAGCAATTTTTTTATATATTGTACTTGCTGAAATAAAATAATAGAATGAAGTAGAAGCAAAGTAAACTAGAAAGAGTAGTCAATTTAAAATCAGAAGGCTAATAGCTTATTCTAAGTTTTTTCATTAAGAAGCTGGGTGACTATAAGTAAATCAATAACCACTCTGAGCCTCCCTTTCCTGACCATGCAATAAACACATATTGAACATCTGTTATATGCTACTTTGAAGGCACAAAGGTAAATAAGAAAACTCTTTGCCAAAGGAAGCATAATGAACAGTGTTTATAGATGCAAAGTGGGTTATAATTGATAGTCTTTATGAAACTTTCAATCTCTGGCATTTAAAGGAAACATCCATTTTCTCAGTAGAGGATGTAAAGATGAGAGTTAAAATAGATTGTCTAATTCATGTTTCCAACAGCAAGTGGCAAAAAACCATCCCAATACAACAATGTTGTTCTATTGTTACTTGGTTCATTTATTGTCAGGCTATTCATTTTTTCCAGTAGAAAACAAAATGAAGTTCAAAATGGCAATGAATAAAGAAACAGGTATAATAAACTTCTTCCTCAAAGTTATTACTCAACAAGAAAAAAGTGAGAAAAATAAATTATACAATGATTAAGAAAATAGGAAGATCTACTCTATAAAAAGTACAAATAAATTATCAAGAGAATACTCCAATGTCTTTCTTTCTTTTTCTTTTTTTGTTTACTTTAAGTTCTGGGTTACATGTGCTGAACGTGCAGGTTTGTTACATAGGTATACATGTATCATGGTGGTTTGCTGCACCTATCAACCCGTCATCTAGGTTTTAAGCCCCACATACATTAGGCATTTGTCCTAATGCTCTCCCTCCTCTTGTCCCCCACCCCTGAGAGGCCCCGGTATGTGATGTTCCCCTCCCTGTGTTCATGTGTTCTCATTGTTCAACCCGCACTTATAAGTGAGAACATGTGGTATTTGCTTTTCTGTTCCTGTGTTAGTTTGCTGAGAATGATGGCTTCCAGCTTCATCCATGTCCCTGCAGAGCAATGTCTTTCTTTCTTAAGAAAGAAACAAGATAAGAAAGTTGCCACTGAAAATATTTTAATTAAACCCACAGAATCTCCTTGTCCTGTAACTATATGCATGGAGAGAGATAGTTTCAAATGGAAATTTTCTCCAACTTAGGATTTTTCTCCAGGCAAGTTTAACATCATTGTTTCTTAAGCTGTAAATTGAGGAGTTTATCATGGGAACTACATCAATGTGAAAGACAGAAGATATTTTACCTTCATTTATAGTCCCAGTTGAGGATAATTTAAGACACAATGATGCACCTAATCCAAAGAACAGAGAAATGGCAATTTTGTGGAAACTGCAGGTGCTGAAAAATTTTGACCAGCCCTCAGTGAAGCTGATAGGATAATGGAGAGGTAAAAAAATAAGAGATAAAGATGGTGATACTGGGCACAGTGAAAATGATGCCTGCTGCAATGAAAACCATCAACTCACTGACGTAGGTGCTGGTGCAAGAGAGCTGGAGCAGATGAAGGGTGTCACAGAAGTAGTGGTTGATGGTGTTTGCCTCACAGGAGGTCAGTTTCAGCATGCACCTGGTATGGGCCATGGCCCCAGAAAAGGGCCAGAAGTAGGAACCAAGCATATGGCTGGAACACACTTTAGGGGACATGGCAATGTTATACAGAAGCGGGTTACAGATGGCCATGGCCACTAGTGATCAGAGACCATTGACGTCAAAACATAGCATTCAGAAATAACAAAAAAAAAAAAAAAGAAAGAAAAAAAAGCTGACATGCAACCCGCATAGGAAATAATATTCTTCTCTGTTATGAAGTTCATCAGCATTTTTGGAATAAACACAGAAGAATAAAAGTGGTCTATAAAAGCTAAACTAAAAAGAAAAAAGTACATGGGTGCATGAAAGTATGAACTGAACACAATCAGAGTTACCAAGCCCAAATTCCCCTACCCAGCAACCACACCCATTACTAGAAACAGGAAGAACAGGGGCGGTTGGAGATCTGTCTGGTCTTTTAACCCCACCAGAATTAATTCAGCCACAGTAGAAATATTTCCAGGAGCCATTCTTCTCTATGGAAAGCTGTGGACAAAGGAGAAAAGTGTTGCATTAGAGGACAACCCAGCTCTTCCCACAGTATTTTCTCCCACAATGTGGGATATTGTTTGAAACTAGCCCAACCTGGATCCTCAGAATCTGGCTTTACCAAAGTCATGATACTTGGGTGACACTGACTTAGGCTTTTTAGAGTCTTATTAAACTAGATAGAGCAAAGAGCAGTGCCACTTTAGCCTACAGCCAGTGCTGCCATATGCAAACATGATTGCTGAAAGACCAAGGGGTAAGGGAGAAGGGTGGACTAGGACAGAATCCGCATTCTCTCATCTCATCATTTCTTCATTCACTTGCGTCCTCCCGCCTCTCATCAATAAAATTAGAGGCAGAGGCCATAGGACATACTCATTGTCATCTGTCCTTACATCTAAAATTGGCCATGTGACATAGCCACATGATTAAAGGGAGAAGGGAAGCCATCGACTAGCTTCTGGAAAGGATTCACCTCGTGATAGATATAAAGAGAGGTATGTATGGAGAGCTGTATTTCTTGTTGCCTTGTTTCCATCTTTGGGTACAGTTGTGTTTAGATGTCATTCATGGAGCTATGACAGCCATTTTGTGATTGTGAAGTGATAAGCCTGAGGTCTAAAACTAGCAGACTGAAGACAGTGGCATGAAAAGCCCTGGTTGTTGATGAGAATTGCTTAGTTGCTAAATCAATCCTAGGACACGCTCCCTCCAGATTTATTGTTACATGAGGAAAAAATAGTTCCTAATTAAAATAGGTTTTTATTGGAACATTCTATAACTTGTTGCTAGAAACTTTCCAACTGATATCATCAACTGGAGGCTACGTTCTTGAGATATTTTTTAAAAAATGCATTATTTTAAGAAATGAACACCTTGGAGGAGATGATTTTCTTTTCAATAAATATTGAAGAGTAAAACTAATTCAGTATGATGAGTAGAAGAGTTGTACAGTTTCAGGTATTAACTTTAAATAAAATCTTTGGTTCTTCTTATTAGTGTTCCTTGCTTATTATACCATTGGGGTCCTTTTTTAACTTTTAGGTTCAGGGCTGCATGTGAAGTTTGGTTATATAGATCAACTCATGTCATGGGGGTTTTGTTGTACAGATTATTTCATCACCCAGCTCTTAAGCCTAGTACCCAATAGTTATTTTTTCTGCTTCTCTCCCTCCTCAAAATCATGCAATTACATGGAAATTAAACAACATGCTCCTGGATGACTTTGGGGTAAATAAAGAAATTAAGACAGAAACCACTGTGGTCTTAAAATGTAAACATTTTCCAACTTTTTCTGTATTTTTAATTGTGAGACACTGAGTTTAAAAAAATACTAAAAGTGCTTAAAAACACTTAAACCAATTAGAATAGTCCATTCATGATGTCTTATCAGCTACATGTTGAGCATCTCAAATCTGAAAATTCAAATTTTCAAATGCTTCAAAATCTAAAACTTGTTTTTCTTTCTTTAAACTTTTTTGTATTTTTCCATAAGTTATTGGGGTACAGGTGGTTTTGATCACATGAGTAAGTTCTTTAGTGGCGATTTGTGAGATTTTGATTTACCCATCACCTGAGAAGTATACACTGCATCCTATTTGTAATCTTTTATCCCTCACCCCCCTCCCATCCATCCCCCCAAGTCCCCAAAGTCCACTGTGACAGAGCAGGAGCACCATCATCTCAGTCACTTTAAGTTCCAGCTCCCTTTCTAGCCTCATGGATTTCAAGGAAATCACTTCTCTTCTAACTACAAGAAGCCAGAAAGAGCAGACAGTAAAACACAGATAAGACAGCTCGGGCACAGAGGAAGGTGGGAGGAAAGTCTTTTGGGTAACTGCCAAACTTCAATAGTCCCCAGTAAAACAATGGGCCTTAATAAACACATTCCTTTCCCTTCAGGTATGCTAAGATAGGAAAGCTAAAAGCAGACTCATGGGGTATTCCTGCAGCTGCAGAAAGATGTATGGGAACAGACACACAACTCTCCCTCCCAGATGAGCACAACAAAGAAACACAGAAGCAGTCCAAGCCTCTGATAAGCTCTCCCACCCTGAATCCTTAAAGAAACTGTCTGTAAGAGAGTGTGGCTCTGACCTAACTCAGCCAGAAGCCCCTCTCAGGTTTGTTTTCTAAAATAAACCTGTCATTGTTGACTGTTGAGCCACACTTTGTATTTCTTTCCTCTTTCTTTAATTCTTACATATTGTATCATTCTTATGCCTTTGTGTCCTCAAAGCTTAGCTCCCACATATCAGTGAGAATACACGATGTTTGGTTTTCCATTTCTGTTACTTCACTTAGAATAAGTCTCCAGTCTCATCCAGGTTGCTGCAAATGCCATTAATTCATTCCATTTTATGGCTCAGTAGTATTCCATTGTATAAATATATCACAGTTTCTTTATCCACTCATAGATTGATGGGCATTTGGGTTGGTTCCACAATTTTGCAATTGTGAATTGTGCTCCTATAAACATGCATGTGCGAGTATCTTTTTTGTATAATGATTTTTTAACTCTGGGTAGACACCCAGTAGTGGGATTGCTGGATCAAATGGTAGTTCTACTTTTAGTTCTTTAAGGAATCTCCACATTGTTTCCCATAGTGGTTGTACTAGTTTACATTTCCTCCAGCAGTGTAGAAGTGTTCCCTGTTCACCGCATGGAACTTCCTCCAAGATAGAGCATATGATAGGTCATAAAATGAGCATCAGTAAGTTTAAGAAAATTGAAATTATATCAAGCATTCTCTCAGACCACAGTGAAATAAAACTGGAAATCAACTCCAAAAGGAAGATTCAAAACCATGCAAATACATAGAAATTAAATAACATGCTCCTGAATGAGCATTGAGTCAAAAACGAAATCAACATAGAAATTTAAAAATTCTTCAAACTGAATGACAGTAATGACAAAACCTATCAAAACCTCTGGGATACAGCAAAAGCAGTGCTAAGGGGAAACTTCAAATCCCTAAATGCCTACATCAAAAAGACTCAAAGACCACAAACTAACATTCTAAGGTCACACCTCAAGGCACTAGAGAAACAAGAACAAACCAAACCCAAACCTCGCAGAAGAAAGGAAGTAACAAAGATCAGAGCAGAACTAAATGAAATTGAAACAACAACAACAAAAAGAAAGATAAATGAAACAAAACACTGGTTCTCTGAAACTTTTTGAGCACCAACACAATGCTCAGAGAAAATGTTCATTGGAGCATTTGGATTTCAAATTTTCAGACTTGGCATGCTCTACCCCTAAATATGTAATGCAAATATTCCAAAATCTGAAAAGATAAGAAATCCACAACATTTCTGGCCCCAAGCATTTTGGATAAGGGATATTTAACCTGTATAACCAGGACAGAATCGTCATTCTCTCCTCTCATCATTGCTCCATTCACTTGAGTTTTCACTTCACCAGGAAAATTGGAGGTAGAGGCTTCAGCAACCTGGGTGCTGGCTTCTAATACAGATTAGACCCAGGTGGGATGGGAACAAAGAACACTGTTTCTAATCCACAAAGGACCAGCATCTAGAAAATGTTAAGTTACTGCACATGTCATAGAATAAAAGACCTACATCTAGAACAGGGAGAGTTCTGTTTATGGAGAGAAATAGTAGTAACTGAGGTACTACTCTCCCTAAGGTGCCTAATGTCTATGAATCTTCTCTGATCCTCCACCATTTTACTTAAGTGTCAGAAATGCACAAAATGGGAAAGAAAGTGGTGTATCTAAGTCTTAGATTACCGCTTAAAATGAGGAGGACCTATGCTAAGTGAAAGAAACAAGACGCAGAGAGAAACACTGCAGGATCTCACCTATACATGGAATCTAAAATAGTCAAATTAACAGGAGCAGAAAGTAGGGTATTTATGGGTTTCCAGGGGCTGGTGGGAGGGAAAATTTTTGCTAGATCTTAAAATTCTCCACATATTTTGGAATATAATCCATGGCAAAACAGAGGGAGCACTGGATCTTCAGGAGAAAGCCCTACAAATGTAAATTGCCATAAAAATAAGAATTTTCTTCTGTACCATAATGAATACAGTGTGAAAAATTAAGCTAATGCTCCCTATGAATTAAGGCGTGTAGCCATGTGGCTGAAGTGGTCCATATTACAGCATGGACATTTTCTCATGTGGAAATTAATGTTTCAGTAGTAACACAGGTAAATAGCACCCTCTGATGGGAACTATTGACTTAGATAAGATTTGTACTAATTAAAAGAAAAAAGATGTTCTAAGGAATAATCCAAATGAAGACTCTTAAGTAGGATAAAGCATTGAATTTTGCCTCAAAACTCAATTAAGATTCTTGGAATATATGTCTAATTTTAACAACTGAAGAAAATATTACAAAATGCAATCTGGTAGAAGAAAAGTTTGATAAGTATTTTGTACTCTCCTTTCACTTCCCCTTCTGTCACTATGAAAAGCATTTGAGCTCATGCGTTTTACAAGCTAAGGCAGTTCTTTCAGAGTGTTTCAAGAAAAGAAAGCACTGAAGAACTCTTCCTCTTTCCTCCCCACCTTCACTCTTCCTGTTCTGGATGATAACAAATGATGAATATAGTCATCTGCAAGCATTTTACCACCACCTGTACCTTTATTTTTATCTGTTAACCAATGGGAATAGTAGCCCTTAAAGAACAGATACCAAATTAGCTGAGTATGGTGGTAAGTGCCTGTAATCTCAGCTACTCAGGAGGCTGAGGCAGGAGAATTGTATGAACCCAGGAGGCAGAGGTTGCAGTGAGCCGAGATCATGCCATTGCACACCAGCCTGGACGACAGGGCAAGACTCCATCTCAAAAAAAAAAAAAAAAAAAAAAGATGCCAGTATAGTAAGAAGCTCATATAAATAACAATTGAAGAAACAAAAGAATTAGCGAATAGACACAAATTCACTGTACTTACTAGATTATACATGCATGCACGCATGCACACACACACATAATTTATGGTCAGTTTATTTTTGAGAGGGATGCCTAGACAATTAAATGGAGACAGAACAGTCTTTTCAACAAATGGTGCTGGAATAACTGGATGTTCATATTCAAAATAATAAATTGGACACCTACACTATAAAAATTAAAAGTATAATCATGCCTCTAAATGTAAGAAGTAATATTATAAAGCTCTCAGAAGAAAACATCAGAAAAGACATTATCAAGAGAGTTAAGAGACAATCCACAGAAGAGAAATGTTTTCAAATCATATATCTGATAGGATCTAGTATTCTGAATACACTGAGTATTGTAACAGCATAAAAATATTAAAAGACAACCCAATTTTAAAATAAGGACAGGATTTGATAAAACATTTCTTCAAAAAGATATTTAAAAAAGCAAATAAACACAGAAAAAGATGCTCCATATCACTGGTAATGAGGGAAATGTGAATCAAAAACACAATGAAATATTACCACACACAAACACTAGGATAACTATAATTATAAAAAATAAAAGATAATACCAAGCACTGGTGAGATGAGGTTGTAAAAGTTGTCACTGGTGGGAATATCAAATAATGCAGTCACTTTGAAAACCAGTCTAGCAGTACCACAAAACATTAAAAATAGAATTACCATATAACCCAGTGTTTTCTCTCCCAAGAGAAATGAAAACCTATGTCCACATAAAAGCTTGTATATGAATGTTCATTAGCACCATTACTCATAATAGCCAAGAACTAGAAAAATCAAAATATCCATTAACTGATGAATGGGTAAACAAAATGTGGCATATTCATACAATGGAATATTATATGATAAAAGAATGAAGCACATTTATAAGTTACAACATGGATAAGCCATGAAAACGATATGCCAAGCGAGGAAAGCCAGTCACAAAGAACATATGCTATATTACTCCATGGATATAAAATGTCCATAGCTGCAAATCCACAGACAAAACATCCCTAGAAAGTAGATGGGTCATTGTCCAGGGTCGGGGTGGAAGATAGGAGGACAATGGCTAAATGGTTTGGGGTTTCCTCTGGAGGTGACATGAAGGCTCTAAAACTGATTATGGTTATGGTTGCACAGTTCTGTGAGTAAAGCCAAAACCATTGCATTGCACACTTTAAATGTGTGAATTACGTGGTGTGTTAGTTTTTATCTAAAAAAAGCTGTTTCCAGAAAAAAAGAGTAAACTTTACATAAACGAAAACATGAAATAAAACAGAAATCAGAAAATATTTTTAAGTGAATGAAGACGTAAATACAACATATGAAAATACATGAAACATAGTTAAATATAGTGCTTACATGGCAATTTATGGCATCCAAGTGCCTATATTGGAAAAGAAGAGAGATTTCAAGTTAGACATAAACTTCTATCTCATAAAATATCCAGAAAAAAATTTTTAATTCAAAATAAGCAGAAAATAAGAGTAAAGATAATGGTTGAAAAAGTAGGAAATAGAAGAATATATAAATAAGTTCATTTGAAAGCTGTGCTTTTTACATCAATAAAAGTGATATTCCTCTAACTAGACAGTTTGGGCAGAAAAGGAAAAGACAAAAATTAGCAATATCAGATACATCAGAGAATGTGGCTACAGAGCCTACACACATTAAAGGAAAATAAGGGAATATTATGAACAAATTTACAGTTATTTAATTTGCAAACCAATGAAATGGACCAATTATTGAAAGATATAAATTGCCATAATTGGGCAAATGAACTTACATAAGATGAAAAAATATATATGCCCTCATTTTGATACCCTTAAGCTAAGCACAATGTTATATAATATATGACAAATGTATATAATGGGATTATATATTGACTTTTATCCTCCTATAAACACCGGAGAAAATCCCTCAACTCATACTTAGTAAATGAGAATACTCTCTGCCCTGGTCTGCACTGGATTCTTCTGTATGTCTTATACTACTGCTGCTCCTCTTCCGTATAAGCCATTCTGTATTAACAAGCTGTTCCCGTAATTCGAGGCTTTATTCTCCGTCTCTGTTTATAGATTAGTTAATTGTTCCCTTTAAGTAGAGCTCGGGCTTTGTAAACTTATTGTATTATGAAATATAGCATACATATATATAGATGATATAGATGTAAAAGTATATAAAATATGTACTTCAACCAATTTTTATAAAATGAGCAGCTTTTAACCACCACACAGATCTATAAGTAAAAAATCACCAGCACCCCCAGGGCCCGCCATGTGCTGCGTCTTGATTGTAGCTCCATCTATTTTTACATTCCCCATCCTGATTGTGTGGCTTTGCTTTATAACTTTATAACTAACGAGAGCATCTTTGTCATCTGTATCCTGCTCAGAGAAGGACAAAGAGAAGGTGGAAATGGCACACATTTGCCTTGAAACAGTGTGCATCACGTCTGGAACTCAGTCACATGCAAGAGCACACTGCAAGAAAGACTGGGAAATGTATGTTTTGGAGGAAGATTGAACAGCAGTAATCTCTGCCACACTGGTATATAATGATAGTTATATCATTATATACCAGTGTGGCAGAGATTACTGCTATGATATAACTATCATTATATCAGTGTCTGCCAATTATCATCAATGTGAGATTAAATAAGACATTAAATGTAAAAATGTACTGCTCACCCTGGAACTTAGTAAGAACCAATAAAAATCAGGATTTATCTAGGCCATTCTTGTTTTTTTATTTATTGTATTGGCCAGAAGAAAATAAGAACATACTCACGTATTCTAAATTGAACAACAGAACTATGAAATATGAAATATGAAGAATACTCGTAAGACATTTTTTCTTGAGTATTTTGCTTTTATTTGTATTTCAAGACATTTTTATTTACTAAAAATAATATTCATAATTAACTGATTTTTAAAGTAGAAAAATTTTGTATAATTAAAAAGAAAATAAAATCCTGATCAATTTAGAATCCAACACCCGAGTCCTGATCCCAGCTCTACCACCTGTATGTTGTAATCTACAACAAGCCACCAACATCTCTGAGCACCACACCTACCATCCGTGGGACTGAATCTGGGATTCCCTTGCTCATTTACCTCCCACTTCTTCCTGAGGAGCACAGGGACTGACAGATGGGACAGTGTAGAGGAAACTGTGCACAACTCTCCTCCAAAGACAAACTACAACACCTGGACACGTCTCTATATTGATGTTTGTAGTGGGTTAATTCAACTCTATGGCAGAAAGACTTTAAACAGTGCAAGTGATTCCACCAGCCTCCTCCTCACTGAGGACGATTAAGTCTCTGCCCTCAAAGGGAACGCTTCTATCAATGAGTGATAACTTAATGTTTAAAGGTATTTCTTGGCAGGGTGCGGGAGCTCATGCTTGTAACCCCAGCACTTTGGCTGGTGGATCATGAGGTCAGGAGTTTGAGACCAGCCTGGACAACATGGTGAAACCCTGTCTCTACTAAAAATACAAAAATTAGCCAGGCGTGATGGCACATGCCTGTAATCCCAGCTACTTGGGAGGCTGAGGCAGGAGAATCGCTTGAACCTGGGCGGCAGAGGTTGCAGTGAGCCGAGATCACTACTGCACTCCAGTCTGGGTGACAGAGCAAGACTCCGTCTCAGAAAAAAAAAAAAATAAAGAAAGTATTTCTTTTGCACAACAAAGCCTGCAGATAAACTACATGCTTGATCTGGTGCAAAGCTTAATTAACAGTGAGTGACATGTCCTGACGCTAGAGAGAAAAACCGACTGTGCCAGACTTATGGGATTTCTCAGTTTTAGATTAGAACATATTTTTAAGTTTATCTTTTCTGAAAATAAAACTGATTTCATCTGCATTTTGAGGGTCTTCACATGAAAGATCAGTGACCCAGTTTAATCCACCTCTTTGGCCATTTCAAACAGTGATAAAATACATAAAGTATGGACACACCTCTGAAATGTCCACCGAGTACCAACTAGCACAGATATTATTTACTTATTTAAATACATTTTTTAACTAAGGAAAATAATTTTATCAAAAGGGACAGCAAATAAAAGAAATGGTAAAAATAAACCTCCAACCAACTTCAGCTATTTTGTAAGAATAGAATTTGTTAAGGGTTAAATCAGGCATGTTGATACCAGGATCAGCAATCAGGAATGAGCAGCCATTTCAAACCATAAGTCAAAAATTTAGTAATGCTGAACATCAAAAACAATAAGCCAACAAAGAAGTTAGGATGAATTTTTTAATACCAAAATATTGAGTAGAGATTATAAAATGGAAAAATAGTAAATATCGTTATAGTTATGTTAGAAAATAGTTGTCCATTTCTATATAAGATTGATGATTTTTGAGTAGTCATATTTTTGTCTGATTTCCCAAAGGAAAAATAATCTACCCTCCTATTCCAGAAAAGACTGATACGATTTGTTAAATTTGGTAAATCAATTTTTTTTCAAATTATCATATCTCTCTCAGCTACAGTTTGAGGTTTTCATAGCTTAAAATCCATATGCAAGGAACACATGAAAACCAAGAAAAGCAAGTGTGATTTGGCTGTTCCTAGGACTCCCAGCCCTCTGGAATTAATATCAAGCAATGTCATCTTTTACACCACTAAGATAAATCCTATGATCTCCACAATTTCCTAGAGCCTCCAAGGAGAGGAGAATTCTAAGTAAGGGATTTCATTTTCCATCATTTTACTTTCTAAATTGTGTCTTCCTAAGTAGAATTTCAAACACCACTCATTATTTTTTTTATCAAGAAGTTGTTGCTATTCCTTCTCTACCTAATTCCTCACAAATGTGGCCACAGCTTTTCCATTTACATTCCCCAAATAATAACACCATGTGCATGTTATAATTGTTATCGAAGCTTAATGGAGAGTACAAGATACGGTGCTCCACAGAATAGAATACAAATTCAGATTACTCGCCAAAATTAAAAATAATTTAAAAAATTTAAAAATAACAGGAAATGAAAGTGGTTTCTACAGTCTTACTGACCATTCTCTACAGAGGGATCTCATTTATCAGCCGTGTGTCTCTTTGAGTCCTTTCACTCCCATGCTTAGATCTATCAAATAAATGATCCTGATAACATTTCAAAGTCATTTTTTTATTTTCCGAAAAACTCACCTCCTGTTTGACTTTTTTAAATTATCTTTAGCATATATTCTTTAAGAAAGAGTATTCGTTTAACATTTAAATGTATTTTGAACCAACCCAAATGTCCAACAATGATAGACTGGATTAAGAAAATGTGGCACATATACACCATGGAATACTATGCAGCCATAAAAAATGATGAGTTCATTCATGTCCTTTGTAGGGACATGGATGAAATTGGAAACCATCATTCTCAGTAAACTATCGCAAGAACAAAAAACCAAACACCGCATATTCTCACTCATAGGTGGGAATTGAACAATGAGATCACATGGACACAGGAAGGGGAATATCACACTCTGGGGACTGTGGTGGGGTGGGGGGAGGGGGGAGGGATAGCATTGGGAGATATACCTAATGCTAGATGACGAGTTAGTGGGTGCAGCGCACCAGCATGGCACATGTATACATATGTAACTAACCTGCACAATGTGCACATGTACCCTAAAACTTAAAGTATAATAAAAAAAAATGTATTTTGAGGCTAACAGTAAAAAAAATTAATTAATCAGTAATTAATTTAGTTTCATAGATGAAGAAGCCACAAATACCAAGAAACATATTTGCAGATAAAGAATTCATCCAATTTGAGATATGCCATACATTGGATAATTCTTATATTGATTATTAAAAGTGTGCCATATTTTACTTTATGGACTCAATTTAAGATTTCTTTTTTTTATTATACTTTAAGTTTTAGGGTATATGTGCCCAATATGCAGGTTTGTTACATATGTATACATGTGCCATGTTGGTGTGCTGCACCCATTAACTTCATACTAGCTTAAAAGATGTCCTCTTTCCCAACAATAAGAACCGTCAAACTGTTTTCCTAAACAAGCATAAAAGAAGCGATACACATTCTGTTAGACATTTATGTATCATTCTGGAACAAAGCACAGTCAATTTCCAAATTAGAAATGTTTTCTTATATTCCATATTAACTGAAATAAAAATAGTAAAACAGAAACAAAATGTACTAAGAAGAGCAGTGGACTTGAAATCAGAAGGCAAAATGTTTAGTCTAGACTTTTTCATTAAGAAGTTGTGTGACTAAGTAAATCATTACCATGAAGAGCTTCACTTTCCCATCCATGTAATAAATAAATGTCCTTCTTTTATGTGCTGGTTTGTGTGTAAAAATAAATAAGAAAACTATTTGACCAAAAAAAAGCTTAATCTATGCTGTTTAAAGCTGCAAAGTAGGTTATACTTACTAGTCCTTAAGAAACTTTTCATCTCTGGCTTTTTTTTTTTTTTTTTTATTGTTACACTTTAAGTTTTAGGGTACATGTGCACAATGTGCAGGTTTGTTACATATGTAGACATGTGCCATGTTGGTGTGCTGCACCCATTAACTCGTCATTTAGCATTAGGTATATCTCCCAATGCTATCCCTACCCCCTCCCCCGACCCCACAACAGTCCCCAGAGTGTGATGTTCCCCTGCCTGTGTCCATGTGTTCTCATTGTTCAATTCCCACCTATGAGTGAGAACATGCGGTGTTTGATTTTTTGTCCTTGCGATAGTTTGCTGAGAATGATGGTTTCCAGTTTCATCCATGTCCCTACAAAGGACATGAACTCATCATTTTTTATGGCTGCATAGTATTCCATGGTGTATATGTGCCACATTTTCTTAATCCAGTCTATCGTTATTGGACATTTGGGTTGGTTCCAAGTCTTTGCTATTCTGAATAGTGCCGCAATAAACATACGTGTGCATGTGTCTTTATAGCAGCATGATTTATAGTCCTTCGGGTATATACCCAGTAATGGGATGGCTGGGTCAAATGGTATTTCTAGTTCTAGATCCCTGAGGAATGGCCACACTGACTTCCACAAGGGTTGAACTAGTTTACAGTCCCACCAACAGTGTAAAAGTGTTCCTATTTCTCCACATCCTCTCCAGCACCTGTTGTTTCCTGACTTTTTAATGATTGCCATTCTAACTGGTGTTAGATGGTATCTCATTGTGGTTTTGATTTGCATTTCTCTGATGGCCAGTGATGATGAGCATTTTTTCATGTGTTTTTTGGCTGCATAAATGTCTTCTTTTGAGAAGTGTCTGTTCATATCCTTTGCCCACTTTTTGATAGGGTTGTTTGTTTTTTTCTTGTAGATTTGTTTGAGTTCATTGTAGATTCTGGATATTAGCCCTTTGTCAGATGAGTAGGTTGCGAAAATTTTCTCCCATTCTGTAGGTTGCCTGTTCACTCTGATGGTAGTTTCTTTTGCTGTGCAGAAGCTCTTTAGTTTAATTAGATCCCATTTGTCAATTTTGGCTTTTGTTGCCATTGCTTTTGGTGTTTTAGACATGAAGTCCTTGCCCATGCCTATGTCCTGAATGGTATTTCCTAGGTTTTCTTCTAGGGTTTTCATTTCTGGCTTTTAAAGGAGACATATGTTTGCCCAGAAGATGATGGAGAGATGGTAGCAGAAACAGACTGTCTGATTCCCACCTCCAGTGGCAAATGTTGAATAATAATTTCCACCCCTCTGACAACACAGTGATGCAGAAAGTGTTAATTTGCTTGATCATTTGCAGACCATTTATCTTTTCCTAGAGGAAAAAGTAATGTTAAAAATGACATTATAAAAATATAAATTTCTTCCCTAATGCTACTACTATACAAGAAAAAATGTGAGGAGAAAAGAATTATACAAATGATGAGGAAAGGAGGAAAACATGATCTTTGAAAAGGGAAAATAAATTATTGAGAGAAGACTCAAATTTTCTTCACTATAATAAGAAAGAATTAGAATAGGAAGAGTACTACCAAAATATCATAAATAACAACAGAAGCTCCCTGTCCTAAAAATACATGCACAGAAAGATACTATTTCTAGTCAAAATTTTTTCCTACTAGGGTTTTTTTCTCAGAGAAAGTTGAACATTTTATTCATCAAACTGTAGATTAAGGGGTTCATCAAGGGAGCTGTATTGGTGTAAAAGACAGAAGAAATCTTTCCCTCATCCATGGACCCAGCAGAAGATGGTTTGAGACACATAAATGCACACGATCCAAACTAAGAGAAACAGCAATTAGGTTGGAACTGCAGGTGTTCAAGGCTTTGGACCTGCCCTCCTTGGAGTTGATGTGGAGGATGATGTAGGAGCTGCAACCACAAGAGATAAATATGGTGACAGTGGAAAATAATGACTGCTGCAATGGAAACCACCAGCTCATTGATGTAGGTGCCGGTGCAAGAGAGCTGGAGCAGAGGGAGGATGTCACACAAATAGGGATGGATGGTGTTTGCATCACAGAAGGTCAGTCTCAGCATGCATCCAGTGTGGGCCATGGCACTAGAAAAGGCTAGCAAGTATAAACCAAGCATAAGGTGAGAGTACACTTTGGGGGACATGGCAATATTATACAAAAGTGGGTTACAGATGGCTACATGGTGATCATGGTGACATGCTGATCATAGGCCATTGAGGTGAGCACATAGCATTCAGAAATACCAAAAAAAAATAAAGAAAAAAGAAAAGCTGGGACATGCACCCCATGTGGGAGATAATATCCTTCTGTGTTATGAAGTTCATCAGCATTTGGGGTGTAAACACAGAAGAATAACAGAGATCTATGAAGGACAAGTTAAAGAGGAAAAAGTACATGGGGGTATGAAGGTGTGAATTGAGCACAACGAGAGTTACCAAGCCAAATTTCCCAACGCAGTGACCATACACTAGAAACAGGAAGAACAGAGGGAGTTGGAGATCTGGCTGATCTGTTAACTCCAGCAAAATGATTTTAGTCATGAAAAAGCCATTTCCAGGAGCCATTCTTCTCTGAGGGTATCTGTGGACACAGGAAAAAAAGCTTCCATTCAAGAGCAACACAGCTCTTCCCACAATTTCTCCTCCCGTAAGAGTAGAGTATATGCTGGGATTATCTGAGACTAGCCTAATATGGACCCACATAATCTGCCTTTACTGCTATCATGATACTGAGTGACACTGACTTCCCCTTTTTCAAGTTGTAGGAAGTCAAATACAGCAGAGACCAGCACCACTTTAGCCTAATAGCATGAAGGCCAGCGCTACCACATGCAAGCATGACTGCTGGAAAGACAAAGGGATACGGGAGAAGGGTGGACCAGGACAGAATGGTTTATCCCTCATTTCTTCATTTCTTCATTCACTTGAGTCCTCTCATCACCAATAAGGTTAAAGGCAGAGGCCGTGGCAACCTGGTGCTGGCCTCTAATGTAGGTTTGACTCAGGTGGTGCATAGAAACAAAGAACATTGTTCCTAATCCAAAAATAAGGAACCAAAGTCTAGGCAAGGTTATGTTACTGCCCCGTATCACAGAATCAAAGTCCTACATCTAGAACAAAGAGAGTTCTGTCCATGGAGAGGGAACTTACTGATTAGACACTGCAACCACTGGGTTCACTGGTGTCTCTGAACATTATCTGCTCCTTTTGAACAGATTTTTCCACTGGTTTCAACTGATTATCAGGACAGCGTTGAATGGGAATGTAAATGCCATATCTTTGAGCCCTGAACTTCCATCTCAAAACAAAGAGGACATGAATGTACATGGAATTCAGAAACACTCTCCTTAGGCCAGAAAACCTTAGTGTTTCCTTATTCTTATTTGCCACTGTGGTCCTGGAAGGGCAATTTCAAGCTCTGAGGCTTTAGTTTCTTTAATTCTAAGATACAGATCAGACTTAAATTTCATTGTGTCCTATTATTTTTATTATTATTATTTTTAATATAAGTATGATTCCTCTCTAGCAGCAGACAAAAAAAAAGTCTTTATTATTATTCTTTCCGTCACTTGGTAGGACATAATAGATTTAATATCAATGTAATGATATAATGTACCTTGATATATTATATAATTTAGTGTTGAAGCTTCCTCAGCCACTTCCCTAGGGAATATGGTTCAGGTTTAAGCAAGATGAGGGCTTTGTATTTATCCCCTGGACTATGATTTCTCTTTTGTTCCTTAGAGACTCAATATTTTACCCAAGTTTTCCTTCTCCCGAGGGACTGTACATCCCCTAAGGCAGAGTGGAAATAAACTCCCATCTCCCCGTAATCTTCACATCTGATAGGAATTCTGTTTCATTAGTTCTTTCTTTTTTTCTTCATCCTGAATGGGAATTTTTCACAGGATCTGCCTGCAGGCTTCTTTATTTCTTTCTCTTTTTTTTTCTTTTCTTTTTTTTTTTTTTTTTGAGACAGGGGTGTCACTGTATCACCAAGACTGGAGTGCAGTGACACCATCACAGCTCACTGCACCATCAACCTCCCAGGCACCAGTGATTACCTCCCACCTTAGCCTCTCAAGTAGTTGAGACTCCAGGGACATGCCACTATGCCCGGCTAATTTTGTTTATTTTTTGTAGAGATGGAGGAGATCTCCCTATGTTGTTCAGGCTGGTCTTGAACTCCTGGCCTCAAGCAATACTCCCACCAGGGCCTCCCAAAGTGCTGGGATTATAGGCCTGAGTCGCCACACTCAGCCTTCCTTATTTCTGTATCAGAAATTTTTCTAGGTGGCTTAGTCTGATCAGGCCACTGTGACAAAATATCATAGACTTGTTGGCTTGGGAAAAACAGAAATGTATTTCTCACAATTCTGGAGGCTGAAGGTCAAGATCAAGGCCATCTCTGGTGAGGCCCTGCTTCCAGGTAGACAGCTGCCTTCCTACTCTAAACACACATGGCAGAAAGGGCAAAGGCTGACTCTGGAGCTCTTTTATAAGGATGCTAATTTTATTCAAGAGGGTTCTGTCTCCATGATCATTTACAAAAGATCTCCCCTCCTAATTCTGTTGCCTTGGGGGTGAGATATTTAATATATGAATTTAGGGGAGACCTACATTCAAACTACAGCACAAAGATGGCAGTAACTCACTTCAGTTGGCTCTCATGGTATATCTTTGAAAAAAAATTAATGTCTTAATTCCCTTTTAAAGTTTTTACATCTAAACACCTTGTAGAAATTTCTACATGAGTGTCCCACTGAGTCCTAAATGGAACATTTCGTTAATGAGGTCATCAATATATTCTCACCATAGTAGTTCAGAGTTTGGGCTATGCAGTTATAGGAAATGTGTGGGAATCCCATTCCCAGGCTTACTAACTCAAGCAACTTACTTAGTCTCCCTGTGCCTTTGGTTCACATTTGTAAAATAAGAATGTTAAAAAATAGCATTATTCATGGGTTTTTATGATGATTAAATGAAAAAAATGTAAGTAAAATGGTTAGAACAGTGGTAAATAAGCAATAAATATCAGCTGTTGCTATTTCTGTTCTCATAGCTTCTGGTACATCCTTTATCATAAAACTCATCAGACCTTTGTGTGTGTGTGTGTGTGTGTGTATGTGTGTGTGTGTGTGTGTGTGTGTCAACGCATTGCTCTCCTCCCAGGCTAGAGTGCAGTGACAGGAGCACAGCTCACTACAGCCTCAACTTCCTGGGCTCAAGCAATCCACGTGAGCCTCCCGAGTAGCTGGAGCTACAAGTGCACGCCACCACACCTGGATAATTTTTGTTTTTTTTTTTTTGTTTGTTTGTGTTTTTTTGTAGAGACAGGGTTTCACCATGTTGACTAGGCTGGCCTCAAACTCCTGGGCTCCAAGGATCCGCCCACCTAGACCTCCCAAAGTGCTGGGATTACAGATGGAGACATTTTTGCTCCTTCTGATTTCTGTGTTCCACCTATATACTATAAGTTCTGTAAGGATAAATATCATTTCTGTCTTCTTTAATATTTAATACTTCGTTCCAGGTGCTAAGTATGGTTCATAGTACATAGTGTGTACTAAGTAAGTATTTGTTGGAATTACATTGTTCTCTGACCAAAACTGTTCAGAATATTTTCTACATCTTTCACATGCTAAACAACAGACTTTACAACCCCAACAACCTCCAGTCTTTTCCCTCAGCTACTACACAATTTCAGGCACATTTTAGTTTCTAACTGAACTGTGCTACTGAATTCCAGTGGCTCCTAACAAAATATCATAGACTAGAGAATAATTCTAATCTCTTCTCATGTACTTACTCTATTCAGCCATCAACATTGCTCCTGGAGTAAACTCTGAAGGCACAGATCTCTCTCTCTCTCTAGCTGAAAAATTTCCAGTGGCTCCCCGTTACCCACTGGGCAATCGAAACTATGTAATAAAAATATGTTTTAAAATGATGGTTCAACCTTGTTTAAAATTGGAGCAGAAATTGAGTAAGGGTTAGAGTTCATGAGAAGCCATGAAAGAACTGTTATGATTGGTCAAAGTATTTTGAACACATTAAGTATTGTGCAAACTAAGTCTTCCTAGCAAATATAAGAAATAAAATGTCAGAAATATTTACATTTTAGAGACCATAGCAATTTTTAAAAAAAGGAAAAAAAAGATAAATAACTAAAAGGTATAGTGAACAAAGAATACCAGGCAGGTGACCAAAGATTATACTTAAAATTTAAGTTTAAACCTATGCAAACTTTCCTTCTCATCATAATAAATTACTGTTTCTCTCTTTAATGTTTACTGAAAAAGAAGCAGGAATCACCCCAAGATGTTCATCTGCTAAAACTACATATATATATATTACATATATGCACACACACATGCACACACATACATACATATTATCTGTACTATATATGAAATATAATTACTTATGTATACACACATATACATATATTCAGTCATGTATCATATAATGACAGGATATGCTCTGAGAAATGCATCGTTAGGCAATCTTGTCATGCAAACATCATAGAGTGTACTTACACAAACCTAGATGAAATAGCCTACTACAACCTAGGCTATATGGCATCACCTATTGCTCCTAGGGTACAAATCTGCACATCTTGTTACTATACTGAATACTGCAGGCAACTGTAACACAATGGCAAGTATTTATGTATCTAAACATAGAAGAAGTAAAGTAAAAATAAATGATATAAAAAATTAAAAATGGTATACCTGTATAGGGCATCTACCATGAATAAAGTTTGCAGAAATGTAAATTGTCTAAGTGAGTCAGTGAGTGAGGGGCGAGTGAATGTGAAGACCTAGGACACTACTGTACACTACTGTAGACTTTATCAACACTGTTCACTTGGTCCACATTAAATTTATAGAAACTTTTTCTTTCTTCAATAATAAATTAACCATAGTTTACTATAACTTTTTTATTTTATAAGCTTATTAAATTTTTTAACTTTTTAATTGTCTTAAAATAACACTTAGCTTATAACACAAAGACAGTGTGCAACTGAACAAAAATATTTTTTCTTTCATATCCTTATTCTATCAGCTTTTTTACTTTAAAATTTTTTATTATCTTTACATTTTTCAAACTTTTTTGTTAAAATCTAAGACAGAAGCACACCTACATTAGCCTAGGCTTACACAGAGTCAGGGTCACCAATATCACTGCCTTCCACCTCATCATCTTGTCCCCACTAGAAGGTCTTTAGAGGCAATAACACACATGGAGCTGTCATCTCCTATGATAACAGTGCCTTATTCTAGAATACCTCCTTAAAAAATCCTACTGGTGGCTATTTTACAGTTAACGTCATCTTTTATAATTAGAAGGAGTGCCCTCTACAATAACGATAAACAGAACAGTATAGTAAGTACGTAAAACAGTAACATAATCGCTTAAAATTTTATGCATTATACTGGCAGCACAGTAAGCTTGTTTACATCTGCATCATTACAAACTTGTGAGTAATGCATTGAGCTACGACTTTCAATGGATACAATGTCACTAGGTGATAGAAATTTTCCAGTTCCATTGTAATATTATGTATATGTGGTCCTCTCTTTGACCAAATTGTCCTTATACCATAAATGACTCTATACACAAGTATATCTCATTGTATTGTGCTTCACTTTATTTTGCTTTCCAGCTACTGCGTTTTTTACAAATTGAAGGTTTATGGCAACCCTCCATCCAGCAAGTCTATCAGCATCATTTTTTCAACAGCACGTGCTCAGTTTATGTCTCTGTATCACATTTTGGTAATTTTTGCAATATTTCAAATTTTGCATTATTACTATATTTATTATGGTGATCTGTGATCAGTAATCTTTGATGTTACTATTGTAATTGTTTCAGGGCACCACAAACCACACCCATATAAGATGGAAAACTTAACTGATAAGTGTTGTGTGTGTTCTGACTGCTCCACTGGCCAGCAGTGCCCCATTTTTCTCCCTCTCCTCAGGCCTCCCTGTTGTCTGAGACACAGCAACATTGAAATTAGGCCAATTAATAAGCCTGACCATGAGCTCTAAGTTTTTAAGTGAAAGGAAGAGTCATATCTTTCACTTTAAATCAAAAGCCACAAACAATTAAGCTTAGTAAAGAAGGCATATCAAAAGCTGAGATAGGCTGGAAGGTAGTCCTCTTGCACCTGTTAGCCAAGTTGAATGCAAAAGAAAGATATTGTAGGAAATTAAAACTGCTACTCCAGTGAACACATGAATGACAAGAAAATTAAACAGACTTATTGCTGATATGGAGAAAATTTCTGTCATTTAGATAGAATATAAAACCAGCCACAACACTCCCCTAAGCAAAAACTTAATCCAGAGCAAGGCCCTAACTGTCTTCAATTTTATAAAGGCTGAGAGAGATGAGGAAGCTGCCGAAGAAAAGTTAAAAACTTGCAGAGGTTGCTTCATGAACTTTAAGGAAAGAAACCTCCTTCATAACCTAAAATGCAAGGTGAAGCAGCAGGTATGGACATAGAAGCTGCAGCAAGTTATCCAGAAGATCTAGCTAAGATCACTGATGAAGGTAGCTACGCTAAACAACAGATTTCAATGTAGATAAAACGGCTTTATATTAGAAGAGGCCAGGGTTGGTGGTTCATGCTTATAATCCCAGTACTTTTGGAGGCCGAGGTTAGCAGATCACCTGGGGTCGGGAGTTTGAGACCAGCCTGGTCAACATGGTGAATCCCCGTCTCTACTAAAAATACAAAAATTAGCTAAGTGTGGTGGTGCATGCCTGTAGTCCCAGCTACTAGGGTGGCTGAGGCACGAGAGTCGCTGGAACCTAGGAGGCAGAGGTTGCAGTGAGCTGAGATTGCATCATTGCATCCCAGCCTGGGTGACAGAGTAAGACTCTGTCTCAAAAAAAAGTAAAAAAATAAAAAAAGAAGAAGATAGATGTTATCTAGGACTTTCACAGCTAGAGAGGAGAAGTTAATGCCTGGCTTCAAAGCTTCAACAGACAGACTGACTTTATTGTTAGGGGCTAATGCAGCTGGTGACTTTATGTTGAAACCAACACTTGTTTATCATTCTGAAAATCCTAGGGGCCTTAAGAGTTATGCTATACCTATTCTGCCTATGCTCTACAAATGGAACAACAAAGCCTGACTGACAGAAGATTTGTTTACAGAATGATTTAGTGAATATTTTAAGTCAATTGTTGAGACCTACGGCTCAGAAAAAATATATCTTTGTTTCAAAATATGACTGCTTATTGACAATGAACCTAGTCACCCAATAACTCTGATGGAGATGTACAAAAAGATTAATGTTGTTTGCATGCCTGCTAACAAAACATCCATTCTGAAGCCAATGGGTGGGGCAGTAATTTAGATTTTCAAGTCTTATTATTTAAGTACATTTTATAAGGCTATACCTGCCAAAGATAGTAATTTCTCTGATGGATCTAGGCAAAGGAAAACATTCCAGAAATAACTTACCATTCTAGATACCATTAAGAACATTTGTGATTCATGGAAGGAGGTTGAAAAATCAGCATTAGCAGGAGTTTGGGAGAAGTTGATTCCAACCTCCATGGATGATTTCAGTGGAGGAAGTAACTACAGATGTGTTAAAAACAGCAAGAGAACTAAAATTACGTAAGTGGAGCCTGAAGAGGTGACTAATTGCTAGGATCTAATAATAAAACTTTAACAGATGAGGAGTTGCTTCTTATGGATAAGCAAAGAAATTTAAAAATGCTTTTTTAGAATGAATCTACTTCTGATGAAGATGCCGTGAATATTGTTGAAATGACAAGAAAGGATTTAGAGTATTACATAAACTTAGTTAATAAAGAAGTGGCTGAATTGGAGGACCAACTCCAATTATGACAGAAGTTCTACTAAGTATAAAATGTTATCAAATAGCATTGAATGCTACAGAGAACTATTTCATGAAAGGAAGAGTCCATTCATGAGGCAAACTTTATTGTTGTCTTATTTAAAAACTTGCCACAGTAACTACATGTTGCCTACAAGAAACTCACTTCACCTGCAAAGTCAAACATAGAAGGAAAGAGAAGACATAGAAAAAATATTTCACACAAATGGAAAATATAAGCATGCAGGAGTAGCTATACTTATATCAACAAAATACACTTTAAGTCAAAAAACATAAAAAGAGACAAAGAAGGCATGATAAAGCAGTAAATTCAGCCAGAGGATATAACAATTATAAATACACACGCACTCAACACAGAGCACCCAGATATATAAAGCAAATTTCAACCTAAAGAGATAGACCCCACTAAAATACTAGATGGGGACTTCACTACCCCACTTTCAGCATTGGACAGATCATCTAGAGAGAATCAACAGAGAAATATTAGACTTAAACTGAGCTATAGATCAAATAGACCTAACAGATATTTATAGAACATTTTATCCAACAGCTGAAGAATATACATTCTTCTCACCAACACAAAAAAATTTCTCCAGAATAGACCATGTGTTGGGCCACACACACAAAAAAATCTCAACAAATATTTAAAAATCTAAACCATATTAATTATATTTTCGGACAACAATGGAATAAAACTTGAAATCAGTAGCAAAAGGAACTCTGGAAACTATACACGGCATGAGAATTAAATACCATGCTCCCAGACACCCACTGGACAATGAAAAAATTTGATTTCTTAAAACAAATAAAAATTGAGTCAAGTTATACCAAAACCTATGAGATACCATGAAAACAGTACTACATCAAAAAGTAGAATAATTTTTTAATGACCTAAGTATGCACCTCAAGGAACTAGAAAACCAAGGGAGAAAAACTAAAATTATTAGAAGAAAAGAAATAATATAGATCAGAGCGAAACTAAACAAAATGGAGATTGAAAAATAATACAAAAGATTAAATAGATGAAAAGTTAAATTTTAAAAGGAGAAACAATATTGACACACCATTAGCTAGCATAAGGAAAAAAACAGAGAAGACCCAAATAAATAAAATCAGAAATGACAAAAAATATATTACAACTGATACCACATAAATTCAAAGGATGATTAGAGCCTATTATAAACAACTATATGCAAAAAAAAACTAGAAAGCCTAAAAGAAATGGATAGATTTTTGAACCCATATAAGCTATAGAGATTGAACCAAGAAGAAATAGAAAACATGAACAGACCAATAATGAGTAATGAGATTGAATAGGTAATAAAAAGTCTGTCAATGAGGAAAAGCCCGGAACCAGATAACTTTACTGCTGAATGTTACCAAACACATAAATAAGAGCTAACACCAGTTCTCAAATTTTTCCAAAAAATTCAACAGGAAGAAATTTTTCCTGACTCTTTCTATGAATCCAGCATTACCTTGACACCAAAATTAGACAAGGACACATACACACACACACACACACAGGCCAACATTGGTGATGAACACAGATGCAAAAGTCCTCAACAAAATACTAGAAAACTGAATCCAACAACCCATCAGAAAGATAACACATTATGATCAAGTGGAGTTTATCCCAGGAATGCACATTTTCTTCAACATATGCAAATCATAAATGTGATTCATCAACAGAATGAAGGACAAAAATCCTAATTTTTTCAAGATGCAGAAAAAGCATTTGATAAAAATCAAGTTATTCATGAAAAAAACTCTCAACAAATTAGATATAAAAGGAACACACCTCAACATAATAAAGGACATATATTAAAAAACCACAGTTAACATCATACTAAATGGGAAGTAGCTGAAAGTGTTTCATCTAAGAAATAGAACAAGACAAGAATGCTCACCTTCAGCGCTGCTATTCAATATAATACAGGAAGAGCTAGCCAGAGCAATTAGCCAAGAGGAAAAAAAAAAGGCATCCAAATTGGAAAAGAGAAAGTCTAATTGTCCCTCTTTGCAGATTACATAATCTTACATATAGAAAAACCTAGACCCCACCAAAAAACTCTTAGAATTGATAAATGAATTCAGTAAAGTTTCAGGATACAAAATCAACATGCAAAACTCAGTGGTGTTTCTATACACCAATAATGAACTAGATGAAAATAAATCAAGAAAGCTATCCCATTTATAATAGCTACAAAAAAAATAAAATACTTAGAAATTAACCAAACAGGTAAAAATTCTTTATAATGCGAGCTATAAAACGCTGATGGAAGACACTGAAGAAACCACCAAACAATGGAAAGATATCCCATGCTCCTGGATTACAAGAATTAATATTGTTAAAAATAACCATATTACTCAAAGCAATAAACATAGTAAATGCAAGCCCTGTCAAAATATCAATGACTTTCCTCACAGAAATAGAAAAAAATAATTCTAAAATTCACATGGAATCACAGAAGACCCTAAACAGCCAAAGGAATACTGAGCTAAAACAACCTAGCTGGAAGTATCACACAATCTGACTTTAAAATACACTAAAAAGCTGTAGGAACCAAAACAGCATGGTAGTGACATAAAAACAGACACATAGTTCAATGGAACAGAATAGAGATCCTAGAAATAAATCCATGTATTTGCAGCCAACTGGCTTTTGCCAAAGATGCCAAGAATGTACCCATTGTGGAAAGGATACTGTCTTCAATTAATAGTTCTGGGAAAACTGAATATCCATAGGCAAAAGAATGAATCTAGATCCTTATCTCTCATATACAAAACTCAACTCAAAATGGATTAAAGTCTTATATGTAAAACCCCAAATTATAACACTACTGGAAGAAAACATATAGGAAACCCTGCAAGACATTGGTCTAGGCAAAAATTTTGTAGGTAAGACTTCAAAAGCACGGGTAATAAAACAAAAACAAAACTGTGGAACACTAAAAACCTTCAGCACAACAAAGAAAACAGTCAACAGACTGAAGAGACAACCTATAGAATGGTAGAAAATATTTGCAAACTATTCATCCAACAAAGAACTCAAACAACTTGACAGCCAAAAATATACATATTTTAAAATGAGCAAAAGATCTGAATAAACATTTCTCAAAAGAAGACATAAAAATGGCCAAGCATATAAAAAAAGTCTCAAAATCACTAATACTCAGAGAAATGCAAATAAAAACCAAAATGAGATGTCATCTCACCCCAGTTAAATTGGCTATCGTCGAAAAACAACAAATGCCACCAAGGATGTGGAGTAAAAGGAACTCTTACATACTGTTGGTAGGAATGTACATTTGTAGAGCCATTATGAAAAACAATATTGAAGTTTCTCAAAAAACTAAAAGTAGAACTACCATGCAATCCAGCAATCCCACCACTGGGTATTTATCCAAAGAAATGGAAATCACTATATAAAGAGACACCTGCATCCCATGTTTATTGCAGCTCTATTCATAGTAGCCAGCATGTAGGATCAACTTAGATGTTCATTGGTGAATGAATGAATGAGAAAAGTTTGGTGTATATACATAGTGGAAGACTGTTCAGATATAAAAAAGGAAGGAAATCCTGTCGTTCATGGCACTATGGGTGATCCTGGAGGAAATTATGTGAAGTGAAAAAAGCCAGGTACAGAAAGATAAATATTGTATTTCTTACTCACATGTAGGAGATAAAAACATGTTGAGCTCATGGAAGTAAAGAGAAGTCAAATTCTGGTTATTAGAGGCTGGGAAGAGTAAACAGAAGTGGAGGATAGGGAGAGATTGGTTAACAGAGACAAACTTAAAGCCAGATGGGAGGAACAATTTCCAGTGTTATGTAGTATCTTAGGGTGAATATGGTTATCAAAATTTCATGTATATGGTCAAAAAGCTAGAAGAGAGGAGTTTGAATGTTCACAGTATAAATAAATGATAAATGTTCAAGGTTATGGATATGCTAATTACCTTGATTTGACCATTACACCCTGTATACATGTGTGAAGATATCATTCTGTATCCCATAAGTATTTGTAATTATTATATGTCAATTAAAACATAAAGAAAATATATATAATGCAAGCCAAATATAAGTTCATATTTTTAAGAACTTAAGCAAATTTACAAGAAAAAAACAAACAACCCCATCAAAAAGTGGACGAAGGATGTGAACAGACACTTCTCAAAAGAAGACATTTATGCAGCCAACAAACATGAAAAAAAGCTTATCATCACTGGTCACTAGAGAAATGCAAATCAAAACCATAATGAGATACCATCTCACACCAGTTAGAATGGCGATCATTAAAAAGTCAGGAAACAACAGATGCTGGAGAGGACATGGAGAAATAGGAATGCTTTTACACTGTTGCTGGGAGAGTAAATTAGTTCAACCATTGTGGAAGACAGTGTGGCAATTCCTCAAGGATCTAGAACTAGAAATACATTTGACCCAGTGATCCCATTACCGGGTATATACCCAAAGGATTATAAATCATTCTACTATAAAGACACATGCACACGTATGTTTATTGCAGCACTATTCACAATAGCAAAGACTTGGAACCAACCCAAATGTCCATCAGTGATAGACTGGATAAAGAAAATGTGGCACATATACACCATAGAATACTATTCAGCCATAAAAAAGGATGAGTTCATGTCCTTTGCAGGGACATAGATGACACTGGAAACCATCATTCTCAACAGACTAACACAAGAACAGAAAACCAAACACCGTATGTTCTCACTCATAAGTGGGAGTTTAACAATGAGAACACATGGACACAGGGAGGGGAACATCACACACCAGGGCCTGTTGGGGAGTGGGGGCTGGGGGAAGGATAGCATTAGGAGAAATACCTAATGTAGATGATGGGTTGATAGGTGCAGCAAACCACCATGGCACCTGTATGCCTATGGAACAAACCTGCATGTTCTGCACATGTACCCCAGAACTTAAAGTGTAATAAAAAAAGATATAGGTAAAATTAATTTTACCAATATATTTTATTTAATCCAATAGGTCAAAAATATTATCCTTTCAACATGCAGTCAATATAAAAATTGTTAATAAAATATTTTACTGCATAAAAAATGAGAAGTCAGTACAAAAATAGATGGAATTATTTTACCAAGTGCAAGCATGCTCTTAATATCATTCTTAATAAAATAACTCATTTAAATTTTGCCTGATAAAAGCTAAATAGAAATGAAATTTGAAGAAACTGCTAAAATTTAGGTAACAACTTCTTTACCAGAAATAATTATCATTCGTTATTCCTTTACAGTTAAGGGAAGAGTTAAGGGAATCTTTTTAGTCTACAGTCTTTCTCGTTTAGCAGTTTGTTTCCAATCAAGTTTCAGCTTTCACTTTATTGAATGAACTTCTATAGCGTGAAGAAACAACGTGTTCACATTACTCTTGTCTGTCATTCCAAACCCCGGTGGCTTTAACTATGTAAACTATGTGTGTATATATTCAAGGCTGTGGCATTCAGCTATGCTCTATAACCATAACTCTCAGTTATTTAGTCTTAATTTTGTATTTAAATAATTCAGTGCTTACACCCAGGCTTCTACTTTCTTGAGTTCTTTTGATTCATTTGTCAAGCATTTTCTTCAAGACTAGCTTAGAAGGACTATATTCTCTGAGGTCTTGCCTGCTTCAGGTTTTTTGTATGACTTTTCGTGGCAGTATATTATTGAAATGTAATTTTAGTACATAGTACGCACAAATCCTAAGTATACAAATTTGGGGGAGGGAGCTTTTCTCATACTTCTTTTTTGAGGCAAAATTGCTATACAATAAGCTATACATATTTAAAATGTACAATATGGCAAATGTTAACATGTGTTTACACTGTGAAATCATCACTGCATCAGGAAAATGCACATACCCATCACCTTCAAAGCCTTCCTGGAATCACAGTACTAAAACTGTATAATCATCTTAAAAAATGAAAAAAAAATTCACAATTGTCGTGTTTATATAATATTTTTAAAAATTAAACCTAAAAATAAAAAGGAATTCTTAACATGATGAAGGGAATCTGCAAACAAACAAACAAAGCTACACCTAACTTCACACTTAAAAGAGTGAATTCTTTACCTATAAGTCTGGTGAAAAGAAAAAAAAATTCCACTCTCACTGCTACTACATGATCATGTAGTGGATTCATGGACAGTGCAATAAGGCAAGAAAAAATAATAAATGACAGATACATTGCACAGGAAAAAATAAGATTATTTCTATTTGTAAATGACATGGTGTTCTATGCAATGAACAATTGGAAATTGAAGTTTTTAAAAGGCAATATTACAACAGCACCAAAAATCATGAAACCTTCAAAATAAATCTAATAAACTACATAAAAGATATGTACACCATAAACTAAAACTAATTAAAGAAATAGAAAACTTATGTAAATAGAAAGATATACCATATTTATATTCCTTTTTGTTGCTGTGTATTATTCCATTGTAAAGATGAAGATACCATAATTTATCAATTAAACTGTTGATAGACATCTAGGTTGTTTACAGTTTTTGGCTGTTAAAAATAAACCTACTACTAACATTTGTGTGTATATGTGCATATATATGCGTACAATTTTTGAAATTTTAGCAAATTCAATTCTAAAGTACATAAAATAGATAATACATCATGACAACTAAAGTTCAATCTTGAATGAAATAAGCCAAACATTGGAAGACTGAATATTTCTAACATGTCCATCTTTTTAAAGCTGATGTATACAATCCATGAAATTACATTAATTCCAAGTAAGTTTGATTGTGAGAAATTGATGACAAAATTTATATGGATAGACAAAGACACAAAAATAGCCAAAAAAAAAAAAATAGCCAGAACAATTTTTCAAAGAAACAGAGTAGGAGGTCTCACACTACTTGATTTCAAGACTCCCTATAGTTCTGCAATAATTAAAACAGTGTGATATTGTCAGAAGGTTACACAGATGGATCAATGGAACAGAATGTAGAGTCCAGAAATAGGCCCACATATATTAGGCTAATTGATTTTGACAAATGTGCAACGGCAATCTATTGAAGAAATTATGGGCTTTTCAAGCAATCACACTGGAATAATTCCATATTCATAACAAAAAGAAAAAAATCTCAAAACCTACCGCTATGGTTTGAATGTGTTCCCCAAATTTTATGTGTTGGAAACTTAATCCCAAGCTCATATGCTGATTGAAGGTGAGGCCTTCTGAGGTTAACAAAGATTAGATAATGTCATTAAGGTGGACCCCCATGATGAGACTGTTGGCTTTGTAAGAAGAGAAAGGGAGACCTAAGCTGACACACAAGCTCATGCCCTCTGCCTGTGATGCCCTCTGCCATGTTATGTCTCAGCAAAAAGGCTCTCCAGATGCTGCCACCTTAATGTTGGACTTCTCAGCCTCCAGAAAGTGTAAGAAATAAATTTCTTTTCTTTATAAATTACTCAGTCTTGGCAGTCTGTTATAGAAATGCAGAAGAGACTAAGACACCTAACTCACATCATTAATATAATTATCACAGAATTACTCAGACATAAAGATAAAACATTAACCTTTAAGATTTTTAGAAGGGAGCAAAGGGAAAACTTTTTGACATAGAGTAAGGCAAAGATTCCTGATAAGCTACCAAAAACAGAGTCCATCAGAGAAAAAAAGATAGTTAATTAGACATTATCAAAGTTAAAATCCTTTCCTCTAAGAAAGATAATACTCAAAGAATGAAACAAGCCAAACACTGGAAGGTTATATTTTCAAATCATACTTCTATTAAGTAATATACATCCAGAATCTGTAAAGAACCAGTAAACCTCAAAAATAAGTAAAGCAACAACTGATTAAATAAATGAACAAAGGTTGTACCTAGACACTTTGCCCAAAAGCGGCATATGGATGGGAAATAAACTCATGAAAGGATCCTCAACATCTTTAGTTATTAGGGAAAGTCAAATTAAAATCACAATGACATACCACTAAAAACCTATTAGAAAAGTGAAAATAAATAAACAAAGTGACTAAATCTAATGCTAATGAGTACACAGAGCAGCTGAAATGTTCATTCATCAGTGGTGGGAATGCAACATGGTGCATCTGTTAGAAAACCATTCGTAGTTTCTCTTAAGGTCGTCACAATTTAAGGTATTTGCCTACAAAAATAAAAGCTTCTGCTCACACACAAAAACTGTACACTTATGGTCATAGTGGCCTAAGGATTATTCTAACGCTCCTCCTCTTCTTTTTCTGTAGAGATGCTAAGGGCACTTATAAGTCTCAGTCTTTGATGTCAGTCAAATAAAAGTCATGATTTTTAATTACGATTTTGCCCAGAAGTAATCATGTAACCAAAAACAAGGCATCTAAACAGCAATCTCTGTTTTTGAGATATTATAATAATTACAGGTAGCATCATGTAAGCTATTTTATTCTGATATAGTGGCTTCTCCAGGAGCCTATCTATAATTCAAGTGCTTTAATAAAGACATAATTATGAAGTCGTTTATACACAGACCAAGGTGCTTTTGCCTTGCTGTCTTTGGAGGCTTAATATTCTATTCAAAATTTTACATCACAAATAACACATTCCACCAGGCCTAAAAGATCGGGAACTTTCTTCTCCCCTCCTTTTCTAACAGTGCCTGTTTGACTTTTAGGTACAATCATTATCACACAGTTAGTGACTCCAGAAATGCCTGTCAAAAAATATATTACACACACACACATAGTCTGCGTAGTTACGTAATTTTAACATTATGATATACATGGCCATATAATGCATAATGCTCTGTAATCTTTCAGATGAAATCACTTTTTTTTTTTTTACTCAGCACTACTTTCCTCTTAGCTCACTCCAATTCATTGCCCTTATTTGTTTCATGTTTATAACCTACAACACACCCTCCCGTATGTTGTTACGTGCTTATATTATCTGACAACTGCAATATGAGTTTCTAATACCTTAAAATGAAAATACCTAATGAAAGCCACAAAACCATGAGTGATTTAGTTGTCTGCAGGTCCTCCAGCCCTCAGGTTTAACCTTTCTTTAATATCAGATAACTTATGCCTTCGTCCTACTCAGAAAAATTCTATGATCACCATAGTATTTGTAAGGCCTTCCAATTTAGAGAAAAAGGAGTCATAGGTAGAAGCTTTAATTTTCCATTGTTCTACTTTCTAAGTTCCTCTTTCCTAACTTGAAATCCAATTGCCACTCATTATTTTTCTGGTTGAAGTTTCCTTTCTTTCCCTTCCTGGTTCTCCACAAATATGACCATAGATTTCTCACATTCACTCCTCGAAACATTATTTAATGTATAGTCGTTTTGGATTACAAATTTTATCAAAGCTTTATGCTAATAAAATATAGTTACAGTAATTTACAGAACAGATACAAATTCAGACTGAGAATTTAAATTGAGAATTTCAGATGGTTTCTAAATCCTAATTGATAATCCCCACAGAGGGACCTCTTGTATATTGGCTATGTGTCTCTTTGGATTCTTGCCTAAATGACAAATTGGTAGGCTCTTTTCTCTCCTATGCCTCTATTCTCTGAGTTATAAACACCAGAAAATATTTCAATATACTTTTTGATTTTGTAAAATACATCAACTCCCTACTTGAGCCAATCAATTCGCAACTACCCCAGCTTAATAGATCTCCACTTTCACAATTTCACCCAAAAACACAATTTCCCAGAACAAAAAACTAAAGCAACAACCATCCTGAGATTATTTATCATCTAGAAACAAAGTGCACTCAACTGTCCAAAAGAAATGTTTTCTCATATAGTATCTCGTGTTTAATAAGTGAAATAATAAAGCATACCAGAAAAAGTAGTAGACTTGAAATCAGGAGTCTATTAACTTATTTTTTTAGGCTTTTTTATAAAGAAATTGTGTGACTTTAAGGGAATCATTAGCATCTCTTAGTTTCAGCACCTCATAGATGCAATCAGTGTATACTGGTGATCTATATAAGCTATTTGGGGTATACCAAGGTAAACGTAAAATTAATGCCAAAAGAAGCTTCATGTGTAGTATTTAAAACTGCAAAGTGGGCTGTATTTGTTAAGTCTTGTTGAACCTTGTCTGTCTGGAAAACGCTGACGTTTAAAGGATGCATGATGCTGCCCAGTGGAGGATGGAAAGACGAGTAGAGACAGGTTGTCAGGCTCTTACATGCAGCGGAACATTGTTATCCTAATTTTACTTTACTTGATCATTTGAAAAACCAATCATCTTTTCTAGAAGAAAAAAGGAAGTCCATAATGACAATGGAAAAAGAGAAAAACTTTCTTTATTATTACACAGGAAAAATGATGAAAAGGGGAAAGATGTGCAAAGGGTGAGGGGAAAAATCTACTATAAAAAATTGGAGACAAATTGACAGGATGATACTCAACTAACCATCATCATGATAACAAATAGGAAAAATTATTTCCTCCTCAATTATTATAATAAAATACAGAGAATCCCCATCCTGTAACTACATACACAGAGAAATGTTGTTTATGGCAAAAACATTCTCCTACTCAGAGATTTTCCCATGGCAAATTTAACATCTTTCCTCCTTAAGCTGTAGATTAAGGAGCTCATCATGGGAAGCCCATTCATATAAAAAACAGAAGAGAATTTTCCCTCATCCATAGACCCAGCAGAAGATGGTTTGAGATACATAAATGCACTTAATCCAAAGAACAGAGAAACAGCAATTATGTGGGAACTGCAAGTGCTGAAGGCTTTGGACCTTCCCTCATTGGAACTGATGTGGAGGATCCTGGAGAGGATGTCACCATAAGAGATAAAGACGGTGACAGTGGGCACAATGGTATTGATGCCTGCCACAATGAAAACCACCAGTTCATTGATGTAGGTGCTGGTGCAGGAGAGCTGGAACACAGGGAGGATGTCACGGAAGTAATGATTGATGGTGTTTGCATCACAGGTCAGCCTCAGCATGCATCCAGTGTGGGCCATGGCCCCAGAAAAGGATAGGAAGTAGGAACCAAGCATAAGGCTGAAACACACTTTAGGGGACATGGCAATGTGATAAAGAAGTGGGTAACAGATGGCCACACAGCAATCATAGGCCATTGACGTCAGCATATAACATTCAGAAATAAATTAAAAAAAAAAAAAAACAGAAAAAGAAAAAGAAAAGCTAGATCATGCAAACCATGTAGGAGATAACATTCTCCTCTGAAATACACTTCCTCGGAAGTTGGAGTATAAACACAGAAGAATAACAGAGGTCTGTGAAGAACAATTTAGAAAGGAAAAAGTACTTGGGAGTGTGAAGACGTGAATTTCGCATAGTTAGAATTACCAAGACAAAGTTTCTTATCACAGTGACAACATACATTACAAGAAACATGAAGAACAGAGGGAGTTAAAGATCTGGCTAGTCTGTTAACCCCACCAGAATGAATTCATTCATCAAAGAGCCATTTCCAGGAGCCATTCTACTCTAAGGGAATCTATGGACACAGGAGAAAAGGGTTGCATAAGAGGACAACCCAGAACTTCCCATGGTGTTTTCTCCCACACCTTGGAATATTGTTGAGATTGTCTGAAACTAGACTGATGTGGACCCACAGAATCTGCCTTTACCACTACTATGTTACTGAGTGACATTGACTTACCCATGGTAGAATCTTACTAAACCAGATATAGCACCAACTTAGCCTATGGAGTGAAGGCTGGTTCTCCCATATGCAAACGTAACTCTTAAGAAGTGATAGAATAAGGGAGAAAAAGGATGAATGGGGACAGAATCATCCTTCCCTCATCTCATTATTTCTTCATTCACTTGAGTCCTCCCTCACCGTTAAAATTGGAAGCAGAGACCTTTGCGACCTGGTGCCCATCTCCAATGCAGATTAGACTGTGGTGTGGGAGGGAGAAAGAATCTTGTTTCTAATACACAGGTAGGGGAACCAAGTCTAGAAAAGGTTATATTACTACTCCAAGTCACAGAAAAAGCCATAAATCTAGAAGAGGTAGATTTTCATTCATGGAGAGGGAATTACTGACCAAAATACCGCATCCACCGCTTTCTCTGTTTTCTCTGAACATTCCCAGCTCCCACTTTAAATAGATTCTTACATCAGTTGCACTTGAATCTCAAGACTGACAAGGTGTAAAATAAAAGGCAATATGTTATATCCCTGTAATTCCGTTTCAAAGCAAGACAGTAATATAAATAGAATTCAGAAATACACCCTCTCATGCCAGACAACCTTGGTGCGTACTGTTGATTACTTACCCAGTGGTCCTGGAAGGGCAATTTCAGGGTCTGAGGCTTTGGGTTTTTTGCTTCTAAGAAGGTGCAGCCCAAACTCTATTTCCAGTATGTTCTGAAATTTTTTCTGAACTACAGATCATCTAATTTATTATTATTGCTTTGAATCCTCTCAAGCATCAGAAAAAATAAAGTCTTTATTGTTATCATATATGCCATTTAATGAGACACCAGAAGACTTACTATGAGTTTAATGATAATAATACAAGTTGTTCTAAAGAGGATAGAAGCTTGCTCAGTCTCTTCCCCAGGAAACAGATTTTAAGAGTAACAGGAAAACGGGGGAATTGTATTTCCACCCTGGACCATAATCTGCCTTTAGTTCCTTAGAGACTCAATATTTTACTCAAGTTTTCTTTTCACTCTGGGGATTGTACATCAGCCATGCAGAGCCAGAAATAAGCTTCAGTTTCTCAGTCAGCAAGATGGTGCAACAGGAAGCCCTAGATCCTCCTTTCCCCATGAACAAAGTAATTCTACAACAATTCATGGACAGATTCTATTTGTGACACTTCTCAACCTAGTTATAATGTTCCTACACCCCAGTCTAGCATAAAACCAGCCACATGGAATCTGGTAGGAACATTTGCATTATCCTTGTACCGTAATCTCTATTTCTGGCAGAGCATCATGCAATTGGAATAAAAGCTTCTCCTTGGGAAGGGCATTGGGGTACACCATGCATCCAGTGCCCCATATTTTCCACAGGTTATGCAGAGGACTGACTTCTATCTAGCCTGTCTCATAGCACTGACAGGACATAAGACATAGCATGCTCTGATCATTAAGGGCCAGTGAGAACAGAGTAGGCAATGTAGACAAAATAGCTCAGTACAGAGACAGAAAAGAAAGAAAGGGAGAGAGAGAGAAAGAAAGAAGGGGAAGAGGGAGGGAGGGAGAGAAATAGGGAGGGAAAAGGGAAGGAAGGAAGGAAGGGAGGGAGGGAGGGAGGGAGGGAGGGAGGGAGGGAGACCCTCCTAACTTCTCCCTGGAGAGGGAAAAAGATACACTGCACTCTTCCAATGCAGCCTGTCTCCAAGGTTCATCACAGATGCCAGCAGTTAAGGCAAACTCTAGCTCTCAGCATTTCCCTAAGGAGGGAAAGAGGTGTATCAGAAGTCAGGCTACCTGAGCAAATAGCTTCTGCCTCACTTGTTTCAGGGTGCTGACTGGATCTTGCACTCTCTGGACAACTGGTAGTTACTAAGAACAAAGGTGTCTGGTGTATTCTACCAAACATTTAAAGAATTAATGCCAATTCTTCTCAAACTCTTTCAATAAATTGAAGACAAGGGAACACTTTCAAATTTAATTTATGAGATCAGCATTATCTTGATACCAAAGCCAGAAGAAAAATCACAGGAAAAGTCTTATCTCTTTTTTTCTTGGTTAATGTAACTAAGGATTTCTCAATTTTGTTTTTTTCATAAAACAAACTCTTATTTTTGTTGATTTTTTATTGTGTTTCTATTCTCTATTTGATTTATTTCTAGTCAAATCTTTGTTACTTCCTTCCTTCTTCTAATTTGGGGTTTAACACACCAACATATTGTGTTTTTTTCCTAGTTCCTTAAGGTTTAAGGTTATTTGAGATAGTTTCAATTTTTTAACATAGATGTTTATAGCTTTATACTTCCTTCTTAGCACTGCTTTTGCTGCAACTTGTAAGTTTTGTTATGTTGTATTTTTGTTTTTGTGTGTCTAGATATATTTTTTAAAATTTCTTTTTGATTTCCTCTCTGACTCAATGTTTGCTCAATGTGGAAATGTTTAGTTTCCACGTATTCCTGAATTTTCCCATGTACCTGCTATTATTGATCTCTAGTTTCATTCCTTTGTGGTCATAAAAGATATTTGAAATGATTTTAATCTTCTTAAATTTGTCCAGATTTATTTATGACCTGAAATGTGATCTATCCTGGAGAATTTTTTACTTGCCCTTGAGAAGAATGTGTATTCTGTTGCTGAGTGAAAAGTTCTGAATATGTATGTATATATATTTGTTAACTCCATTTGGTCTATAACATTGTTAAGTTCTGCTGTGTTCTTATTAACTTTCGGCCTGGATGACCTACTCATTATAGAGAGTGAGGAATTGAAGTTTTCTGCTATTATCATATTCCTGTCTATTTCTCCGTTCATATCTGTCATTGTGTGCTTTCTATACTTAAGTGCTTTGATGTTGGGTGCATACATCTTTATAGCTGTTACATCTTCTTGTTGAATAAAGTCTTTTATCATTATATAATGACCTTATTGACTCTTTTGACACATTTTACTGAAGGCTATTTTGTCTGATATGTTCTTTTTTGGTCATCACTGAATAAACTATTTTCCTCCACTGCTTTATTTTCAGGCTTCATGTGTTCTTAAATCTAAAGTGAGTCTCTTGTAGATGGCATATAATATGATCTTTTTTTAAATCCACATAGCCACTACATATCTTTTGATTTAGAAGTTTAGTCCATTTACATACATATAAAGTAATAACTCATAGGTAAGGACTTATTCTTGCCATTTTTAAATGGATTCTAACCAGTCTTAGCTGGTCTGGTTACAAAGGAAACTTTTTCTCACAAGCATCCTGTTTCTTAAAGATAGGCATGTAATTGCTTTTTTAAATCCATCTAGCCACTCTGTTTGATTTGGGAATTTAGTTCATTTACATTAATTATTGATAGATTAGGACATACTCTTTCTTGCTTTTGTTTATTGTTTTCTGTCCATTCTGTGTTTCTCTTGTTTCTCTCTTCTTCTGTGTTTCTTTGAGATTTGATATTTTGTAGTGATGTGCTTTGATTATTTTAATTTTTTATGAATCTACTGTATATTTTACAGGGCTCTCATCAAACATTTTATAGTTACTGCAGTCTGTTTTAAGCTAATAGCAACTTGAATTGCATGCATACTCTATACTTTGCCATCCCCCACACACAAACACTATGTTATTGCCATCAGATTTTATTTCTTTCTATGTTGTGTTTGCATGAAGAACTGTATGTTGTTATAGCTATTCTTACTACTTGTGTCTTCTATTTTATATAGTGTTAAAAGTGATTTACATGCCACCATTAAAGTTTTACAATACTTTTTCTTTCTTTATATTTGTATTTAGCAGTTAGATTTTTACTTTGTTTATCATCATTTTCTTTCAACTTGAAGAATATTTAGCACTCTTTGGCAGGTGTAGTGGTGACAGACTCCCTCAGTTTTTGTTTGTTAGAAGGTATCTCCAATTCATCATTAAAGGACAACTTCCCTGAGTAAGTCATTCTTTGTTAATATTTTCTTTGACTATATCATCCAGCTCTCTCTTAACCTGCAAAGTTTCTATTAAGAAAATTGCCAGTAGTCTTGTGGAGCCCTCCTTGAAAGTGACAAATGACTTTCTCTTGCTTTTTTCAAAATTCTTTGCCTTTGATTTTTTAAATTTTCTTTTATCTTAAGTTCAGGGATACATGTGCAATATTGTCAAGTTTGTTACATAGGTAAACATGTGCCATGGTGATTTGCTGCACCTATCAGGAAACAACAGATGCTGGAGAGGACGTGGAGAAATAGGAAGGCTTTTACACTGCTGGTGGGAGTGTAAATTAGTTCAACCATTGTGGAAGACAGTGTGATGATTCCTCAAGGATCTAGAACCAGAAATAACATTTGACCCAGCAATCCCATTACAGGGTATATACTCAAAGGATTATAAATCATTCTACTATAAAGACACATGCACACATATGTTTATTGCGGCACTATGCACAATAGCAAAGACTTGGAACCAACACAAATGCCCATCAATAATAGACTAGATAAAGAAAATGTGGTACATATACACCATGGAATACTATGCAGCCATAAAAAAGCATGAGCTCATGTCCTTTGCAGGGACATGGATGAAGGTGGAAACCATCATTCTCAGCAAACTAACAGAAGAACAGAAAACCAAAACCCACATGTTCTCACTCATAAGTGGGAGTTGAACAATGAGAACACATGGACACAGGGAGGGGAACATCACACACTGGGGCCTGTCACGGGGTGTGGGGCTAGGAGAGGGATAGCATTAGGTGAAATACCTAATGTAGATGATGGGTTGATAGGTGCAGCAAACCACCATGGCACCTGTATGCCTATGGAACAAACCTGCATGTTCTGCACATGAACCCCAGAACTTAACGTATAATAAAAAAATCAAGTATATTGATACTGGGGTCAGGGGATGAGATATGAATGCTGTTTTAAAATCAAGAGTCAGGGATTTAGCAATGCCTAACATCTAAAAAAAAAAAAAAAGTCAGCAAACCACGTGATAAGTTTCACAATTACTAAATATTGAGTGGAGACTTTAAAAATAGTAAAATAATAAATGCTATTATAATTATTCTTCAAATGTTTAAATTTTTACTTGATAAATCAGATTAAGAATTTTGAGAGTGGTCATCTTTAGGCCTATTTTCTCAAAGGAAAAATAATCCAACATCCTATTATTTCAAAAACATTGTCAGCTAATGTTTCCTTCAAATTGTTATTAATCTCCCAGCAGTAATTTGAGGGTTTTGTATCTTAAAATTCATAAGGTAGTAGTATATGAAAGCCAATAAAAATGGGTATGACCATTTTGTTCCTGGGCCATCAAGACCTGTGGTTTTAATCTTTCTTTAATATCAAATAACTTAAGCTTTCATCCCATCCAGAGAAATTTTTTATCTCCATAATTTTTCTAGAGCCTTCCAGAAAAGGGAGGAGAGTCATAGGAAGGGGATTTCATTCATTCATCATTTTTCTTTCTAGATTCCTTCTTTCTAACTTGAGTTTCAATTACCCCTCACTATACTAGCTCCTAAAGTTATGGTCCTCTCTCTATATGGCTTACCACAAATGTACCATAACTCTTCTAACATTTGCCTGAACACTTTTAATGTATTGTCATTGCAGATGGTAAATTTTATCAAAGATTTAATGAACAGTGTACAACAATTACAGTGCTCTACAGGAAAGATACAAATTCAGATTGCAGTGTGGTATCTGAAGCATCTTTGATAGTTCCTTACAAAGGGAAATCTTGTTTAATTGCCATTTGCCTCTTTGGGTCTTGGCCTAAATGTCATGTTGCTGGGCTCCTTTCTCTCCCTGATCCTGTTCTCTGAATTACAAGACCTTGAAATCATCTCAATTTTTTTTTAATGTTGTAGAAAAATGCAGCTCCCTAGTTGAAGCAATCATCTTCCAACTATCCTAGCCTCAAAGGCCAGATCTGTCCCAACAACAAGAATCATCCAGTTGTTTTTCTAAACAAAAGATAAAGCAGCAACAACTTGGAGAAAGATTTATGTATCATCCAAAGAGAAAGCACATTCAAATTTTAAAATAGAAATATTTTTCATACTCATATTTGTGGAAATAAAAATAATAAAATGAAGTAGACCAAAAGCATACTTGAGAGAGTAGTAGACTTGAAATTAGGAATAAATAGTATATTCTAGACTTTTTTATTATGAAACTCTGTAAATTTGTAAATTTAAGTAAGTTATTAACTTCTCTGAGCATCGGTATCGTCTCCGTACAATAAATACATATTAGCAATTGAGTTTGTGCTGTTTGGGTATACAAAGGTAAATAAGAAATATCTACCAAAAGAAGGTAAATGCATGGTATGCAGCTGCAAAACAGGTTATATTGGATGATCATTATGGAGCCTTTTATATCTGTGACACTGGCTTTTGAAGGGAACACATTCCTGCCATTGGATGATGTACAAGCAGAAGTAAAACAAAATTATCTGATTCAAGCTTCCAGTGGGATATTATGAGTAGAAAATAAGAAACCCCACACCAATGAATTAAATTCTCATATGTACCCTGAAAATACATACATCTATTATGTACCAATACAATAATAACATTTTTAAAAAGAAAACCCACACCCAGTGAGTGGCACAGTGTCACCCTAGTTCTACTTTACCTGATTCTTTGCATAACAATTCGTCTTTCGCCAGAAGAGAAAGGAAGTCCATAATGGAAAAGAAAAAACATAGAAATAAATTTCTTCCTTAATGTTATTCCTAAACTGAAAACATGGTGAAAAGATTTTTTTTAATAGTGAAAATTATAGAGAAAAGAAGAAATCTATTCCAGAAAAATTATAATCAATTTAAAGAAGACTCAGTTTTTTTTACCATGGTAAAAAGAAATAGGATAAGAAGGCTGCTACTATAATATTATAATTAAACAAACAGAATATCCCTGTCTTGTGACTATACACACAGACACATACTATTACTTATCAAAGTTTCCTACTACTCAGGGCTTTTCTTAGGGCAAATTTAACATCTTTGTTCCTCAGGCTGTAGATTAAGGGGTTCAACATGGGAACCACATTTGTATAAAAGACAGAAGATAATTTTCTCTTATCCATGGACCCAGCAGAAGATGGGTTGAGATACATAAATGCACCTGATCCAAAGAACAGAGAAACAGCAATTATATGGGAACTGCAAGTGCTGAAAGCTTTGGACCTGCCCTCCTTGGAACTGATATGGAGGATGCTGGAGAGGATGAAACCATAAGAGATAAAGATGGTAACAGTGGGCACAATGATGTTGATGCCAACCACAGTGAAAACCACCAGCTCATTGATGTAGGTGCTGGTGCAGGAGAGCTGGAGCAGAGGGAGGATGTCACAGAAGTAGTGATCGATGGTGTTCGCATCACAGAAAGTCAGTCTCAGCATGCATCCAGTGTGGGCCATGGCACCAGAAAAGGCCATCAAATAGGAACCAAACATAAGGCTGGAGCACACTGTAGGAGACATGGCAATGTGATACAGAAGTGGGTTACAGATGGCCACAGCGATCATACGCCATTGACGTCAGCACATAACATTCAGAAATGACCAAAAAAAACAGAAAAAGAAAAGTTGGGTCATGCACCCCTTGAAGGAGATAATATTCTTCTCTGAAATAAAGTTCATTAGCATTTTGGGTGTAAACACAGAAGAATAACAGAGATCTATGAAGGACAAGTTAAAGAGGAAGAAGTACATGGGGGTATGAAGGTGTGAGTTCAGCCCAATTAGAGTTACCAAGCCCAAGTTTCCCAACAGAGTGACCACATAGATTACTAGAAACAGGAAGAACAGAGGGGACTGGAGATCTGGCTGATGTGTTAATCCCGCCAGAATGAATTCAGTCACGAAAGAGCCATTTCCAGGTGCCATTCTTCTTTAAGGGAATCTCTGGAAACAGGGGAAAAAAACAAACGGTTGCATTAGAGGACAACCCAGCTCTTTCCACAATGGGTCTGCCTGAGATTAGCCTAACCTGTACCCACAGAATCTGCCTTTACAGAACACCGCCAATTAACCCTAGAGAGTGAAGGCCAGTGCTGCCATATACAAGCATGACTGCTGGAAATAAGGGATAAGGGAGATGGATGGACCAGGACAGAATCGTTTTTTTCCCGTCTCATCATTTCTTCATTCATTTGAGCCCTCCCCTCACAAGTAAAATTGGAGGCAGAGGCCTAAGCGACCGACATTGGCCTCTAATGAAATTAGTCGGATGCAGTGAAAACCAAAACATTGTTTCCAATCCACTAGTAGGGGACCAGAGTCTAGGAGAGGTTACATTACTGTCCCAAGTCACAGTGAAAAAGTTATAAATCTAGGACAGAGAGGGCTCTGTCCATGGAAAGGGAACTTACTCAGTAAATACTGCAACCATTGAGCTTACTAGTGTCCCTGAACATTCTCTGCTCCCCCTTCAAACACATTCTCCAATTTCATTTGAGTTTCAGGATTGCTCAAAATGAGGGGAAATGGTGGATTTTAGATCCCTGGACTTCCGTCTCAATAAAAGAAAACACTAATGTAAATAGAATTCAGAAACTCACCATTCTTAGTCCAGAATACCTTGATGCTTCTTTCACTTTCTTATTTCCCTGTGATTCTGGAAAAGTAATTTCGGGTGTCCAGGTATTTGTTCCTTTGATTCTAAGAACATACAGTCCAGACTTAATTTCTTGTATGTCTTTATGTGTGATTATGACTTTGATTCCCCTCAAGCAGTAGAGAAAAAATGAAGTCTTGATTACTACGCGTTTAGTCGCTTGCTAAGACATAGTAGATTTAATATTAGTTTAATGATATAATGTGCTTGGTTATAAAAAGGGTAGAAGCTTACTCAGCCCCCCTCCCCAGGGAACAGATTCTGGCTGTAATAGAAAATAACGGAACTGTATTTACACCCTGCATCATGATCTGTCTTTACTTCCTTAGGGATTCAATATTTTTACTCAAGTTTTCCCTTCCCTCTAGGGCTCCTACATAATGCAAAGCAGAGCCAGAAATAAACTCCCACATCCCCACCACCTTGATCTCTGAAGGGAAATCATTGTTTTGGTTTTTTTCTGTCTTTCTTCCTTCATGCTGAGCGGAAATTTCCCATAAGGTCTACTTTGAGACTTCGTGTTTTTATGTAAAAACTTTGAAGGACCATAGTAACTCACTTCAGGTATTGTCTCTCCTAGGACATCACCAAAATAACTTTGAATGGCTTACATCACTTCTAAAGAAGGTTTTTACTTTCTCAGGTTTATAGTTTCTGAAATAGGGATACTAATAATAATATCTCATTCACTGGGTGGTGGCAATTAAATGAAATAAGTGCAATGGTAAAAACAGCCCCTGGCACATGACAAATAATCAGTAAATGTCAACTATTATTATTTGTGTTCTCATAACTTCTGGCAGATTCTCCATCAGGATTTTTCCCCTTGAATTTTTGTTTTCCTCTAAAAACTATAAGTTCTGTAAAGACAAAGATCACTTCAGACTTGTTTACTACTTTGCTTCTAATGCTAAGTACGGAGAAGAGTACATAGCAGCCCCTCTTTAAAATTATGAAAAGTATGTTATCTGGCTGAAAGTCTTCAGAATCGAATTTCCATGGTTCTCAGATGCTTAGAGGCTACAAACACAATGACCTCCATGCCTTTCTCTCAGCCACCTCACAAGTTCAGACACTCTGTAGGTTTTAACGGAACTGTGCTATTGAATTGTAGTAGCTTCTAACTGTTATTCTAGCATTTTTCCACATAGTTCCTCTTGTTTAGCCACCTATTCTGTTGCTAAAATAAGCTCTGGAAGTGCAGCTCTGCCTTCCCTAGTTTTAGAACTTCCAGTGGCTCTCCATTACCCACTGAACAATTGAAGCTATATAATAAAAGTGTAAGTTTCAAACTAATTTTCAGTCTCAGTTAAAATTAGCAAGGAAATTGAGTCAGACAGATTATAGCTGATGAGAAGCCATGAAAGAACTATTCTGATTAATTGAAGTATTTTGAGCACATATGATATTGTGTAATTTCTTATTTTTCTCAACAAATATGGGAAAAAGGATATTGGACAATGTTTATGTTTCAGAGTCTGTAAGAGTGTACAAAAAAACAAAAAACACTAGCCAGGGGAGATTACATTTAAAATTTAAGTTTAAATCTTCACAAGCTCTCCTTCTCATCATAATAAATTATAGTGTTTTCTCTTCAATATTTACCTAAAACAATTAAGAATGTACTCCACGATGTTCATCTGTAAAAATTATATGTTTTATTTACTTTCTAAGAAATGTAACTTTCAACCCACATTATCAGTTAGAAAAAAATTTGCTTCAAATTACAGAATCTCTTTAAAATAGGAGCTCATTTCTTTTTTTTTTTCTTGGTCCTCTTGTTTTATTGTTTTATTTTATTTATTTATTTTTTTTTATTATACTTTAAGTTTTAGGGTACATGTGCACATTGTGCAAGTTAGTTACATATGTATACATGTGCCATGCTGGTGCGCTGCACCCACTAACTCGTCATCTAGCATTAGGTATATCTCCCAATGCTATCCCTCCCCCCTCCCCCCACCCCACCACAGTCCCCAGAGTGTGATATTCCCCTTCCTGTGTCCATGTAATCTCATTGTTCAATTCCCACCTATGAGCCACATTTTCTTAATCCAGTCTATCATTGTTGGACATTTGGGTTGGTTCCAAGTCTTTGCTATTGAAAATAGGAGCTCATTTCATTCACATAACAATAAATCTAGAGGCAGAGTGTCCCAGTGTTGATTCAGCAACTAAACCCTCTCATCAAAGACCCATCCTCATCCATTCCACTGTCCTCAGTCTGCTGACCTTATTCCTCGGGGTTTTCACTTTATGTTCACAAAACATCTGTTATAGCTCCAACAATCACCTGTATCCAAAGAAGAAAGCAAGAAAACAATGCAGAATAACTCTCCTCACATATCCCTCTCTTTTTATTCGGAGGTAAGTCTTCTCCAGAAGCCTAAAAATGACTTCCCTCTATGTCTTATCAGTCAGAAATAAAACACACAGCCAACCTCATTGCAGGGAGAACTGTCAAATGATTATCTCTTATTTTCAGCCACTATCACGAGAGAAATTTTGTGGCGTTAGAAGGGAAGGAACAATGTCTTCTATAGGGCAGGACACCAACATCTTCTACCTCAGTGAAGCTTGTGAAAGATGTTCATAATAGGAAATTGTGTTTGTTCAATTTAACTATAGAGTATACTTGTTATTTGTTAAGTGAGTTACTCTCTGAAGCTTTAAATCAAATCAGCTGCCCTAGCATATTCAAACAATTATAAAAACATATATGTGAAATATATGTATACATTGAGTTCATATTTACCCACACAGTCCTTATGTAATTAAAAGAAAAAGGAAATCATTGTATATTTATAGAGGGTTTTTTATTAGCCAAAAAGCCGCAGACTCTCTGAATGTTTTCAAACTCCTCAAAATAAGGGTCATTCCCAAAAGACATTATCAAGAAAGTGAAAAATCCCACAGAATGGGAGAAATATTTGCAAATTATATAATCTTAAAAGACCTAGTATGCAGAATGCCTAAATAACACTTAAAACTCAATAATAAAAAGATAAAACACTCAATTTTGAAATGGGCAAATGATCTGAATAGACGTTTCAAAGAATATACACAAATGGCCAATAAGTACATCAAAAGATGTTCAATATCATTAGTAATTAGGGAAATTCAAATCAAAACCACAGTAAAATATGACCTCACACACACAAAGATGGCTATAATTTTTTAAAAATAATAAAACCACGTGTTGGTAAGGATGTGAAGAACTGAAACCTTTGTACACTCCTGGTGGCAATGCCAACTGACTGCAACCACTTTGGAAAATGGTCATGCAGTTTCTCAAAAGGTTAAACAGAATTACTGCTTCACTCAGAAATTTCTCTCTTAGTTATATACATCAGAGAAATAAAAAACATACATTCGCATAAAACCTTATATATGAATATTTATAGCACCATTGTTTTATAATTGTCAAAATGTAGGAAAAAACACCAAATATCTACCAACTAGTAATTTGGTAAATAAAACGTGGTATATTCACACAATGTAATATTATTCTGCAAAGAAAAAGAGTGGGTAGTGGTGAATGAATGAAGTATCCTTACAAGTTAAAGCATGATACAGCTTGAAAATATATTAAATGAGAAAAAGTAGTCACAAAGACCACATATTTTATTATTTATTTTATAAGAAAGATCCAGACCAAAAAAAAAAAGGCTATTAACATATTTTGACACATTAACATATTTTGAATGGACAAGTGTAACGGTTCAGGTATAAGAATTAAAAGGAGGTGAATCAAAGGGGCACAGGAAAATTCTGAGGGAAATACCTGTGACAATATATGTAGCTATCTAATCTCCTCTAGGTATTTTCTGTCCTGTGTACATTATTTACATGATTCTGTATAATGTTAAAGTCTACCAAATATGTAATGGAAAGAGACTTACAAAAACTCACAAAACTGAAATATATAGCACCTCACTTTCTTAATGCTAAATATACAAATATTTCTTCGGCTGTCATCAAAAGTTGAACTATATAGTGAGTGCACCCAGTCCACTGGCCCTAAATTGGACTAAGCTATTTAACAACTTAACTATCTCATATTGTTGGATTAGGTGTTTGAGACCTAAACAATCACTTGGGGAAAAATGCAGTGAAAAATACTTAATAAAAATGTCTGGCAATGCTTTATGAACTTGGTAGTGATTACATTGACTGCTTTCATTATTCATTTAATTATAAATGAATATTTTGTGAACTTTTCAATGCATATGATAAATTTGTTGATAAAATAAGGAAACAGAGTCTTTTCAATATGTACCACATTAATGTAAATTATTTAAAACCCAAAATACACTTAAAATCAGAATTGTGATGTTTTATTTTTATTAGATAACATTTTCAAATAAAATATCTTCATAATAATCAACAAAAATTGGTGCTTGCTCCTGGAAAGTAATTTTTTCTATCAGGTTTTGTGAATAAAACAACTACTTGTAATTACTGCATGAGAATTCTTAGTAATTATAACTAACAAATATTTACAATCACCACCAACAACAAATTTGAATGTAAAAGTAACAGAATTTAAAATTGTTTTGAAAAAATCAGCCAAATATTTAAAATTGAAATCCCATTCAAATAATGCAAATGGTCTTTTCTTTCATTGACAAATTTTATTTTAAAGCAGTTTGGAACCAAGTTCACTTTTTTACTTAATATTTCCAAATAACAAAGATACCCTAATTTGCAGTAAACTTGTGCATTTTTAGACCAGTCATGCTAACAGATGATACTAACAGAATATATCAGCTGGAAATGGGCAGAAGTATCTGATCTGGGAACAGAGAGTCCAGACCACAGAGAGCAGCACTTAAAGCTGGGCACTGTACTTCTTGGGCACCTGAAAACCCCGTCAGCAAACCCATGGGCCTCTTGTTCACAATAAGCTGTGTCCCCCTCTGCATGTGACAGCTGTAGCTGGTATCCAGGGGTGAAGCATCTCTTTGGTTGGAATTTTAAAGTGGAGCAATGAGTGCTATCTTGTCTCACTGCTCTTGCTCCTGCCAAAGACATGCTGTGCTGTCACATCATACTTCTTTACTCTTGACCACCCAGGAGCCCTTCCCAAGCTAAATCTGCCAAAGCAACCAAACTGAAATTCCCAACCTGGCTATCCTAGGCTCAGTACCTTAACCTCAAACCCCTTTTGCCATTCTATCTGCTGTGCAGTAGTTAGAAAGCTCTGTCCCAATCTATTTTCATAAAGGAGAAAGAATGAGACGTTTGGAAAGAAGTACCTCAAAACCTTTTCATTAATAAGTCAGCCTTGCTGCTATGTCAAATCCAGGACCTGGTAACATTTCAATTCCTTCGGGTGATGAAGTGAACTTGGTTGGTCAATAGGCACCATTTCATGAACCTCAAAATATAATTTCTAACTTAACGTTTTTCCTGAAAGTTAAACCTTGGGATATTGCCATTTTAAGTTAATGCAATATAATCTGTGTTTAAAATATATGTAATTAATATAATTAAGCTTTTATGTAAAAAAGAAAGATTTTATGTGTCTTTAACATATGTTAGTATGTTTTTCCAGTTTGAATTGTGTGCATGGAGAAACTGTGATACAACAAATAAGAAACAAGTATTTGACAATAGCTATATCTTTACCAAATTACACATACAAAGCTTGTAAACATTCAGTAATTGTAAAATAAGCTTATACATTCGAAAGTTATTTTATGTCTAATTTTCTCATTACATTAATTTTTTTTTTTGAGATGGAGTTTCGCTCTTGTTGCCCAGGCTGGAGTGCAACAGAGCCGTCTCGACTCACCACAACCGCTGCCTCCCAGGTTCAAGTGATTCTCCTGCCTCAGCCTCCTGAGTAGCTGGGATTACAGGCATGCACCACCACCCTCGGCTAATTTTGTATTTTTAGTAGAGATGGGGTTTCTCCATGTCAGTCAGGCTGGTCTTGAACGCCTGACCTCAGGTGATCCTCCCACTTCGGCCTCCCAAAGTGCTGGGATTACAGGCATGAGCCACCGCGCCTGGCCTCATTACATTAATTTTAAAAGATAATAGGCTTTAATTTAAACATTAGTTATAAATATTATTAGAAATGGTTTTAATTAAAAAAATCAGTTACACTTGCCAGGTCAACACAAGAAATTCAACCTGTAAAATAAGCCTGTTGACTTCACAGAACTAAGTCAAGCTAGTTGCTGATTCATTTTCCATGAAGGAGTGCTGGTGACTACAATACAGTACTCAGATCACAATGTATATTCTATGCCTGCAATTCACATTTTACTTTTTTGTTAAGTACTGGGTGGTTATAGACATGAATTTTATACACCTTTTTCTATGTCATTAAAACGTGAACTTCTAAAATATGTGCTTTAGAGCAAAATCCAAACCAAACAGTTTTAAGGTTTCTCTTTAACCAGGCACTATAATGAATGTAGGCACAAGAAAGGTAGAAGCAAATACAGACATTCAGACTCTGCTTCAGGAATAAAAGTTTTAAACAAAATTAAGTAAGATAAATATCATAATGAATATAAAAACTTGACTCTTCACTCTAACACCAATAATTTTAATCACATAGAAGTAAAGTACTTAGCCAGAAATATCATCTTCTAAGGCTATTCTCACAAAATGTTTTAGAACTTTTCAAAAATTATGGTATCTGCATAAACATAAAAATTACAATGATAATTAATCATGTCCCCTACCTATGATATATCCTTTGAGGGGCATCTTGCCCTAAGTTCATTCACAGTAGTAATGATGCAGGATTTTTCTCAGCCACTTTGCCAACTGGGGACTTCCATGGCCTGTGACACCCCCTACCCCCTGCCAGGGCCTTGCTCAGCCCGTGTCCTGCTGCTAGAGGCACCCCACCCACTCAGCCTGCCTGTCTTATAGATTGTACCCACATTCAGCAGTTCCTGAGCTCTTGTCCTGTGTCCAAGAAGAACGAGGTTACACTGACAATTCAAAGGGTGAGGATGGGCAGAGAAGAATTTTACTGAGTGAGAGAACAGCTCTCAGCCGAGAGGGGATGTGGGGAGGTGGCCCCCCACCACTGCATTCTGGTGGTTTCTCTCCCAGTGTGGCTGGATCCAGGGATTCTTACGTACTCAGAATGGGGAGTGCATGCTGATTGGTTTGTAAGTACACAAAAAAGATTAAAGCAAAGACACCATTCAAAGGTGGGCAGAAGACGGTGTAGAAAATCAATTGGGAAAGGGTAGGTAAATGTAAAATAGGTGAAGTGTGGGGATCAGAGGAAAGTGCACCAGACAGAAAGACAGGTTCTCAATCCAGTCCATGGGTTTCACTTGTAGCTTGGCTTTCAAGCTTTAAACTGTCTTTGGCTTGAAGGTAGAGTTTCACCGGGGACCTGCCCCTATCTGCCTAGACATTTCTGTCTCCTGCCACTATCAATAGTAGGCAATAGACAGTTTAACTTCTGTGTAGAGCCTGATTTTCTATTCTTTTTGTCATGAGTAACTATTTTTGTTTCTAAATGAAGGCATAATATCTAATAGGGCCTGTACAGTACATACACTACTATGGAAATAGTGACATGCCTTATCAGGAAGGCTTGACCCAAACTCCTCAGCCTCACCATTTAGGAAATTATCACTATTATTAAAAGATCTGGATGAAACATGTCTTTGGAGCTCACCCTGTTTACCCTACCTTAAAATCAAACCTTTGCAGGGGCAAGTTCATTTTTCTAGTTGTGGATCAAAGCCTTGAAGAGCATATCTGTGCTACAGGCATTTTGGCTGAGGGCACCATCATTCCCATACAACCCCCATCTTCCAGCTCATTCTGAAATAACTCCCCAGAAGCCCTCTTTCTTCCCAGACTTCTTTTTTTTTTTTCAATTTATTCGTGGGACGAACAATGGTTTCGAAAATCAGGCTCTGTGTCATTAGCTGTGTGACCCTGAGCAAGTCACATATCATTTCTTCATCTGGAGCACAGGATAAGAAGATCTAAATGTAAAGTGATTTGTTAAAAATGCAGCACACAGCATGGGCCTCGGATTCCATTTTTGATTCTCAGAGGAAAAAAAAGTCAAATTTACATATTAAAAGAATAAATCTCAATCAGGCAAATTTGTGCCATATAATTTTGTTTGCTTTTTAAAAGAAGTATTGGATCTCTTTTTCCAGATAAGAACCCCTGTTACACGGCTAGGTAGACAGAAAATCTTGACACTCATTATACATGGCACTTTATTCTTTTGCCAAGAATATCATTGTAAAACTTTTAATCACAATCACAATCCACAGACATTGTGGACATAAACAAGGTGGTAACAATGTCAGTTCTATTACAACAAAATATAAGTTGACCAATGTATTGTCATTATTGGTAGGATTTGAGAAAGGTGGATAGAGTTGTGAACCTAGTCCGTCTGTAAACATCTGTAAGAACAGAACCTTGGTCCAATAAGGTGTGCAGTTCCATTACAGATGCGAGGCCAGAAATCCAGAATAAGAACCACTCTTAAAAGAACCTTGAAAAATTCTGGAGATTTTTACAACTTTACCTGGTCCACAATTGTTGTCATCCCTTCTCTCTTTTAATGTGGTTATAAATAATAAAACTAATGAAACAAGAAAGGGTTCTATGTAATTGTTTCAGAGAAGGCAAGAAAGAAATGAATTTGTCAGACAGCATCCAACTCTCTGGCGTACCTTTGATGAGGGAGACACGTAAGAAAAAATAGTAGGTAGTGTTATCCTTAGATAGGAAATTATATCAACTCAGCATCTCCACCTGGTATTGTTACTGGCTAATGTTGTGAAGTCCCAAGTTCTTGGTGCCATAAACAAAGAATTGGACATGACACACACGCAAATAGCAAAGCAGCAAGTGGTTTATTAAGCACGGTATGATCCGCAATGGATCAGGCTGACCCGCAAGTGGTATCAGCCCTGGTTTGTTACATTTCATGGCCTTTTACTTGTTTTTTTCCTCACTTGCTTAACCTCACCTTCTCTCCCGTAAATGAATTGCACATCCTTGCCTTTCCCTCACTGTGCCTTAACCTCACCTTATTTCTCATAAGCTAATTGCTCATCCTTGCTTAACCTTACTTTATCTATTCTGACCAAATTGCTCATCTTTACTTTTACTTCTCATGACCAAATTGCTACTACAAGTCCCTCCTACTTACTTCCCTTACATTGCGTGTTCCAACTCACTGCTTACTCCCTTATCTACTTGCTGCTTACGCCCTTATTTCAAATGTTCTATTGCTGCTGTCTTGCAGGTTTTGCTTTTGCTATTGCTTAAGCTAACCTACATCCAACAGGTCCCCTTCACCCCCGACTTCCTCTGCTATTCTCCTGCCTCAGTATGGGGAACAAAGCTCAGGCTTGGGCCACCTTGGGACTAAGGACAACTCTTCTGTCCAAGGATAGACCCACACAGTTACATTGCATAGTGAGAGAAGAAAGGCAGAAACCTTGCCAACACGACTTTAGAAAGAAAGATGGAGAGAAGGCAGAAAAGATTAGGAGGAAGCGGATGAGGAGGAGCAGGAAGAGGAGAGGAAGACTCAGCAATTGGAGAGGGGCTAAGGCAGCACCATTGGCTCTACTCAGTTTGTAATTTTATTTAGGGTTTCCTTTAGAGCAAGTTTGACATCCTTGTTCCTGAGGCTATAAATGAGGGGGTTCAGCATGGGTACCACATTCGTGTAAAACACTGAGAGAAACTTCCCCTGACCCATATACCAATCAGATGATAACTTAACATGAGTGATCAGCCCAAATTCATAGAATAGGCCAACAGTTATTATGTGGGAGCCACAGGTACCGATGGCTTTGAACCAACCCTCGGCTGAGGACATGTGAAGGATATTGAAAAGAATCAAAGCATAAGAGATTAAGATAATGAGGCTTGATACTATAACAACTGTGCCTACAATAACAGACATCACCAGCTCATTGGCCTAGGTGCTGCTGCAGGAGAGCTGGAGCAGTGGGAAGATGTCACACATGTAATGGTTGATGACGTTGGAGTCACAAAAGATGAGCTTCATCATACACTCTGTGTGGACCATGGCCCCAGCAAACCCCATCACATATGAACCAAGCATCAGTAGAGAACAGATCTGAGGGGACGTGGTGACCATGTACAGAAGGGGTTTGCAGATGGCCACATAGCGATCATAGGCCATGGCTGTCAGCACATAGCACTCAGAGTGGACAAAAAAGCAGAAGAAAAAGAGCTGAGTTATGCATCCTGGAAAGGAGATGATGTTCCTCTCTGAAATAAAGCTCATCAGCATTTTGGGGGTAAAGACAAATGAATAACAGAGATCAATGAAGGACAGATTGAAAAGGAAAAAATACATGGGAGTGTGAAGGTGTGAATTCAGGCAAATTAGATTAATTAAACTCAAGTTGCCCACCATGGTGGTCATATAGTTCACCAAGAACAGGAAAAACAGGGGCAATTAGATCTCAGGCTGGTCTGTTAATCCCAAAAGAATAAACTCTTGTCACTGAAGAGTCATTTTCCACAGCCATTAACTTGCTGGGTGTGATCTGTAGGAACAGGTGTAGAAAACATTAATAATGGATCCTCACTCTTTATCTCCAGAGGGAGAGCTGAATCTCCTGGTTTACAAACCCAGGGATGTCTGAAGACACATAGCAAGGCATCCAAGGCTTAATATTTTCTATGATGATACCTGAGAATTTCCTTTTCCTGCTCTTCTCCCCCATCATGTTTTGTGTCTGTCAGTGAGAATGCTGGTAGACCTCCCAATGTGTCTGCACATTATTCCCTCTCTTCTCCTCAAACTTCTCTAAGGATTAAAGCTGGAAAAAGCAATGAATTGATGGTATTCCCCCAGAATCTTTGATTTATATAGTTTTGAGTTTGAACGGAAATTATCAAGACAAAAGTGATTCAATGCTTACCTTTCTATCCTTGGAGGACTAACTGCTGCAGGACCTTCAGGGTCCTTCCTCCCCACTGTCCTGAGAGGGTCAAAGTTGCTGATGATGAAGGAGGTAATTGCCAACAGCACAGACCTCCATCTTCGACATGCTAGAAGAGGTATTCTAGGGAATATGCCATAATATCTGTCTGAGAATTTTCCCAGACGGTTCTCTCCTCCTGCATGCAGGAAAACAACCACCTTATAGGAGCCTCCTAAAGTCAGATGAATCAAATAAAAATCTATTTCATGTCGCATAGTTCTGGGAAAGTTGACTAGAAGCACAAAAAATTATTATCTGTTTTATGATTTCCTCCCAAGTTTAATGAGCCCCTCAAGGGTAGATATTACCAAACCTGTGTTTACAACTTGTGTCACAGATCCAGCATTGGCTCCTTTGGGACTCAGTGTTCCACTCAGTTCATAATTTGGCATCAAGAAGTCCTAATCCCCACTGCAGAAGGACGAGCTCCTCCCTTTGTAATCATTCCCTGGAGTCTATGCACAATTCTACAGGGGAAATGTCCAGGGCACAGTCACTTGCCATTTCTGCTACCTTCCTACAAGACCCCTGGATTGTGTTAATAAAATATTAGATCATACCCTTAACACTATACATGCTTGTGGATTCCACCTCAATAGAGATGTAGCAAAATGGTTGAGGGAATGGGAGCAGGCCCTCAAGTCAGGCTGAGTTTACATCCAGGCCTCTTAACTTTCTCTGAGACCTCAGACAAGTGATAGAACTTCTCTGCCCCTTATGTATGTATATTTGTATCTATATAACCTATGCATATCTACAAACTAAGGCTAATTTTAAAAAGCTATCTCATAGCGTTTTGTGGGAATTACATGAGTTAATTCACATAAAGTGTTAGAAATGTGCCTGACACATAATAAGAACCTGATAGGTGTTGGCACCCCTGCCCCTGTTACTCATCCATATATATAAAAATCAGGATTTATTGATCTTGGTACTTTTTACATTTTGGATAAGTTTTGGTTGTGGGGCTGTCCTGTGTAGCACAGGACTCACAGCACAGCATCCCTGACCTCACCCATTAGATGCCAGTGATATTCCCCCTACCATACAGACACACCAATCACTAAATCAAAATATTCTCCATTGTCAGACATCACCTGGGGAGCAACATTGCCCATATTTGAGAATCGCTGCTCTGTCTGTATAGCCTGGACTTCTGCCATAACTGTTTTTCAGAAAGTTCTACTTTATGTCTATTTATGTGTCTCAAGTTCAAAGTGCTCCAAATTGAATTCAGTGTTTTCTTAGGCTTCCCAGGGCTGCTCCTTCTCAGGTCATCATTTTATAAATTATTTTTACCACCGTCTGGGCATATAATCCACAAAGTAAACTTAAGCACCTCCTTCTCCCTTACTATCTCTTCCAGTCTCCAAGTCCCAGAGAATCCACCTCTTTGAATGATCTGGACTTTCTCTCAATTCTACAGCTTTCACAGTCCCTCTTCATCTCAAATTTGGATTACTCTAATGGTTTTCTAACTTAGACTCCTTAAAGGTGAGAATTTGGACCTTTCAGGTCTATCACCACCACTGAAAACACACACACACCTCCTCTTCCTGGCCCCCAGTACCAATTCCTACCAATAGGATTATAATTATAAATTCGGTTGTAACAATATTCCTCTGTTACATTATTAAGCCTATTTTTAAACACTATTCACAAAAAATTCATCAAGTACTGTAATTGTTTGTCTTTTTTTCCTATAATTCCATATATTTTTTCTTATTTCTTTATATATTCTTACCCTTTTTTTTTTTTTGTAAATCTCTTCTCAGTACATGCCGTCATGTAGATTCAACTTCATATTTTTTTATTTACTTTTTTTTTAGACACAGTCTCACTCTGTCACCCAGGCTGGAGTGCAGTGTTGTGATCTCACCTCCCTGCCACCTCCACCTCCCAGGTTCAAGTGATCCTCCTGCCTCAGCCTCCCACGTATCTGGTATTACAGGTGTGTGCCACCACACGCATCTAATTTTTGTATTTTTAGTGGAGACGGGGTTTCACCATGTTGGCCAGGCTAGTCTTGAACTCCTGACCTGAGGTTATCCACCCACCTTGGCCTTCCAAAGTGCTGGGATTACAGGCGTGAGTCTCTATTCTATCCCATGGACTTGTTCACCTGACTTTATAACAAAACCAATCTGCCTTGATTGTCACGGCCTTATACTAATTTTTAAAATCAGCTAATGTAAGTCTTCTTTGCCATTTAGGGTCCCTTAAGTAGGAGATGTCAAGAAATGATAAGACTTGCAACACATATTTTGTTATAAATGCCTATTAAGGATAAAACTGGAGGGAGCAAGAGTCAGCGATGAAGGCCTCAGACCAGGATGAAAGTCACCTACGAAAGGAGAAAAAAATGGAAAGATCGGTTAGGAAAATCTCAGACCATAGAGCAGTTCTAAAAAGTCTTGGTCAGGAGGATAGGAAGTCTCTAAACAAAGATTTCCTATCAGAAAAGACATATGTTAGATGGAAATTGCCAGCTCTCTTTAAGTCCCACCCACCCTGCTGAGTCATTGGTGGAGGGCATCTCAGAGTAAGAATGGACTCTGCCTAAACACCATGGTGGATCCAAAGAAGTGCAGCTATAGACTTTCAGTCAGCTATGCACCCCACTGCTGGGTCTCTTCATGGGGAGCTGAGCTGTTCTTCTCTGAGACTACCACACTCCACCTCCAAAAATATAAATTAAACCCCAAAGCTGTTCAGATTTATAATTGTCATTATTTTTGTATGTTATTAATTATTAATTAAAATAATACATTTATTATTGGTGTAAGAAGCAAGGTACTCCAATTCAGCCAGGCACAGTGGCTCACACCTGTAATCCCAGCACTTTGGGAGGATGAAGCAGGAAGATTGTTTGAGGCCAGGAGTTAAATTTTTTTCTCCAAATATTTAAAAATTAGGGAGGCATGATGGTGTGTGCATGTACTCCCAGCTACACAGGATGCTGAAGAAGTCCTCTACCTCATGCTGTACACAAAAGTTAATCTAAAAATGGACCAAAACCATACACACACAAAAAACTTAAACTATAGGCTGAAGTGGAAGAATTACTTGAGCCCGGGAGTTGGAGGCTGCAGTAAGCTATGATCGAATCACTGCACTCCTATCTGGGTGACAACCTTTATATAAAATGTGTTTCATGTCTTATTGGTGAGATAAAGTTTAAGTAGGCTCACAAAATATTTGTAGAAATATAGTTTATTAATATTAATATACATTCCTTATGATAAACCACACTGGATAAGGAAAATGTTGTATAAAATATTTCTACTAACAATGTGCAGTATTTACCTATAATGAGTAAAAAATAACATTTACAGTAGGAACTACATGCTTTTTTTCAAAATTTTCAGTGCTGTTTTAGACAGTAATAAATGAAGTTTTATAATGTAAACTATATTCCCCCTTATTGGAATCCTGAGGTGCACATGTATTATTTCTCTAATCATCCTCTGTTAATGCTGCCTTTGGCAATAAAAGGTGGAGATACACATATTCTCTGCTGTATCAAATGGACTGGAATGATAGAGGTTCTCAAAAGCAAACGGCATGTGGTACAAATTTTGCCATTCTCAAAGGGAACAAGAAAAGTCAGAATAATAAAAGGCAAAATGGTGACAACATAGAACAAAAGGACAAGATCAAGGGGAACTGATTCTGCTTTAAATTACCTACCATTTGTAGTGGATATATTTCATCAAATCCAGCTGCCTATATCTGTAACAATGTTGATAAAAATAAGAATGCTTCTATCATATTTGGCACTTCTGTGTTTAGGTGAGAAAGCTGTGACTTTGACATTTTTATAATTCATGAAATTTACCACATTTTTCCAATTAAGAATAGCCCAGGAGAGAGGAAAGGTAGAAAATGATGAAGAAAAATATCAGTGCATATGTTCCCTTTACAAATATGCCATGACCTCTTTAGTAATATTGCGAGAAGTGCCAGAGATGCAAAAACAAAAAAGAAGACACAAGATGATCTCATAAGAGAAATGATAAGACAAGTTTATTAAATCACACATAACACCATCTGTAGAAACAACAAAATCTCTTCATGAAAAACACTAATAAAAATTTGAAGTCCTTCAATTGTTTTACATCATTACTGCTTCTAATTAGAATATATTTCTCCTCTGAATTTTAATCAGAGCTTTCCTCAGTGCAACTTTGACATCCTTGTTCCTCAAACTGTAGATGAGGGGATTGAGCATGGGCACCACATTAGTGTAGAAAACAGAAGAAACTTTTCCCTGCTCCATAGATCCAGAAGAATATTTAATATACATGAATGCCGCTGACCCAAAAAACAGAGACAGAGCAATGACATGAGAGCTACAAGTACTGAAGGCTTTTGATCTTCCTTGAGTGGATTTGATATGAAGAATGCTAGTGACAATGAAAACATAAGAAATGAGGATGGTACAACTGGGTACCGTGATATTAGTACCCACAACAATGAGAACAACCACCTCGTTGACATAGGTGCTGGTGCAGGAAAGCTGGAGGAGGGGGAGTATGTCACACAAGTAATGGTTGATGATATTAGCACTGCAGAAGGTGAGTCTAAGCATGCACCCGGTGTGGGCCGTGGCTCCAGCCAATCCCATTATGTAAGCAGCAAAAGTGAGCATAGAACAGACCTGATGGGACATGGTGACCTTATACAGCAATGGATTACAGATGGCCACATAGCGATCATATGCCATTGAAGTCAACATGTAACATTCAGAGATGACGAAAAAGAGAAAGAAAAACAGCCGAGTCATGCACCCAACATTGGAGATAATATTCTTTTTTGACACAAAGTTCATTAGCATTTTGGGAGTGAAAACAGAGGAGTAACAGAGATCAATGAAGGAGAGATTGAAGAGGAAATAGTACATTGGTGTGTGGAGGTGAGAATTTAGACCGAAAAGAGTGATCAAGCCAAGGTTGCCTACCATGGTGACAATGTAGATCACTAGAAACAGGAAAAAGAGGGGTTGCCGGAACTCTGGATGATCTGTTAATCCAGCAAGAATAAATTCAGTCACTAAGGAGTTGTTTCTAGCCAGCATTTTTTGTCTTCAAAAATCTGGGAAGACAAAAGAAAATTCTATTAGGAACACAGATTTCTTTTTACAAAATCTCATTAATGAGGAGGGGACTCAGGCTGTAGGAATTTGGGTGAGTTCTTTGTTTCATGGGATCTGAATGTACTGAATGTACTGCCACTCCCACTCCTCAACATTTCAGTCAGTGTCTTTTGTCTGTACAGACTGAATGTGACAAACAATTGCTCCTGTCCTTACTAGAAGACACAGAGGTGGAGTAGCTGAGGCACAGGCCTACCTGCTGTTGAGCTTGGGTTATATGGATGTGTCTCATCTCCCTCACTTCCATCTGTCCCTTCACTTCCTAGTTTCTACTTATGTTTCCATTATTCTACTAGACACTTCAATTTCCCTGTGATGACCACCAGGTAAGGGAGGATTCCTTTAGGGCGGAGACCATACTGATATTCTGTTTCCTAGACAGGGGTCTCCTATAGGGTTTCTAGATACCTTACTATAAGAATCCATGAAGTCACCGGGTGATAAAAGAAGACCCTTAGTAGTCGAGGCCTTATGATTCACCACATACAAATCACATAAGTGTTTCTACACATTCTCCTCTATTCCATCCTAGCTAGACAGAGGATGAAGAAAGGAAGCTGAATGTGCTTTCACAGGTCTTTGTAGGAAGGCATAAGGGAAACATAATTAATTTGGGTACAGTTATATTAGTTGTTAAGTTTGTAAAATTTTACCAAACTGGTATTTTTATGACCCTTAAACTCTTCTATATGTATAGCACATGTCAATATATTTTTAATAAAGAGACAAATCTCCTTTCCTGGCATTCCTCTGTTCTGGATGTGTCACTTGGAACTGCTATTGCTATCCTGATACCAGGCTGAGAATGAAGCCAACAGAGAGAACAGTGTGAGAAAAATGCAAGCCCGAGAGTCAGAGCTCCATACCACTAAGTTTCTTGCTATTGAATAAATACTTTTCCCCATTTTTCAGCAACATCCAGGAGAGAGAAATAGAAACTTGATTAACTCACCTTCCTTCCACTCAGAGAACTCAGTGCTGACCATTGATATGTGTTTCACCTCCACTGCCCTGGAGGTAGAACTGGTGGTGAAGGTATCTACGTTGACCACATGTAGTCAAAGAATCTTCTTCTCCCTTACCTGGCAAAAGCATTGAGCATAGATCTCAGAATCTGAATGTTCTGGGAATCATTCTGAGGTGTAGATCAAACTATTTATAAATTTGCCAAGAGGGTTTGTTAGAAAATCAGACTTCACACCAGACCCACCATGTCCACCGTCATAGAGACATGGCATTTGCTCAAGGCTCATAATTCTTAGACCTGATTACATACCAACAGTAAGTCTCTCTCAGGACCTCCCCTACCATGACACACTCTGCAGGGAAGAAATTATATGCCTGTGTTTACAGCCTAACTTGTTGTTGTAGATGTAAACTTTTCATCAGGGATTATACAATCCACAGGGCATAGGAGAAAGAGCCTCTGCTGTCATGTATAAAGATGTAAACATAAAGATTGTCAGAATTTTTGCTAATTATAATTATCGGCAGTGTTAGCTTTAACAAGTATGTATGTATAATTTAGTAAAGTTTATTGCTATGCTCATTTTTAATATTGTGAGTCCTTTTAAATAATCCATTTTTAGTTTTGCATACTTTATAGGCAAAAAGAAAAGAAAAAGAATAAAGAAAAGGATACTTTTAATTGATTTCAGATTTTTTAAATAAAATTTTGTGTAACATAGAATGATCCTTTATTTCATCAAAATTTAATTATCTTGGGTTGCTCTAACTCAACATGTCTTTGCCTTTAACAGGTTAAAATCAAATCTGTAAGAAAAATCACTAATCATGTGCCCTCATTTTAAGACAGTATGACTTCAGAATTTCCCGGTAGGTAGGAATTTGTGCTTGTGAGAAGGCATCTATATTTTTTACCTTTTTATTTTAAAATTATTAGAATCACAAGAAGTGGCAAAAGTATATGTAGATTCCCTTGGACACTTCACCCAGCTTCCTCACACAGAGACATCTTCCACAACTGTAGGACAATAGCAAAATCAGGAAACTGACATAGGTTCAATAATGTTAAAGAAACTACAGACCTTATTCAGCAATTTAACATGCGTGTGTGTGTGTGTGTGTGTGTGTGTGTGTGTCTGTGTGTGTGTGTAGATCTATGCAGTTGAATCCTATGTACCTATTTATGTAACAAAAACCTAAGTCAGGATACAGAATTCTTTCTTTTTTTTCTTTTTCTCTCTCTCTCTTTTTTTTTTTTTTAAAGACAGGGTCCTACTCTGTCACCCAGGCATGAGTGCAGTGGTGCAATCACAGCTCACTGCAGCCTCAACCTCCAGGACTCAATAGATCGTCCCACCTCAGCCTCCCAAGTAGCTGGCACTACAGGCACATGCCACCACACCTGGCTAATTTTTTAATTTTTTGTAGGGATAGGGGGTCTCACTATGTTACCCAGGCTGGTCTTGAACTCCTGGTCTCAAGAAACCCTCCTGCCTCAGCCTCCCAAAAGTGTTGGGATTACAGGCATGAACCACCATGCCTGGCCTCTAATTAATTCTTAAACAGACTTTTAAGCATTCCATTTGTTCTGCCCCATCCTCACTTCTTCCAGAAATATCTGCTGTCGTGAAATTGTGAGAATGTTGGAGACTGTGTGTAAATCAGGTGTGTTCTTGGTTTTCCCAGTTCTATCATAGGGTCAGATGTTGTAAGAATGCCAGTGCAGATACTGCTTGTTTATCTACTGTCTAATTTCCAAAATCTGGGAGTTGTTCTAATTCTACCTTTTTTTTTTGTCCCTGGGAGCGAACACCATTTTTATTTTTATATATTTATTTATTTTTTTCCCTTCTGATTTGCTTCATTTTTTTATTTTATTATTATTATACTTTAAGTTTCAGGGTACGTGTGCACAATGTGCAGGTTAGTTACATATGTATACATGTGCCATGTTGGTGTGCTGCACCCATTAACTCCTCATTTAGCATTAGGTATATCTCCTAAAGCTATCCCTCCCCCCTCCCCCCACCCCACAACAGTCCCCAGAGCGTGATGTTCCCCTTCCTGTGTCCATGTGTTCTCATTGTTCAATTCCCACCTATGAGTGAGAATACGTGGTGTTTGGTTTTTTGTTCTTGCGATAGTTTACTGAGAATGATGATTTCCAATTTCATCCATGTCCCTACAAAGGACATGAACTCATCATTTTTTATGGCTGCGTAGTATTCCATGGTGTACACGTGCCACATTTTCTTAATCCAGTCTATCATTGTTGGACATTTGGGTTGGTTCCAAGTCTTTGCTATTGTGAATAGTGCCGCAGTAAACATACGTGTGCATGTGTCTTTATAGCAGCATGATTTATAGTCCTTTGGGTATATACCCAGTAATGGGATGGCTAGGTCAGATGGTATTTCTAGTTCTAGATCCCTGAGGAATGGCCACACTGACTTCCACAAGGGTTGAACTAGTTTACAGTCCCACCAACAGTGTGAAAGTGTTCCTATTTCTCCACATCCTCTCCAGCACCTGTTGTTTCCTGACTTTTTAATGATTGCCGTTTTAACTGGTGTGAGATGGTATCTCATTGTGGTTTTGATTTGCATTTCTCTGATGGCCAGTGATGGTGAGTATTTTTTCATGTGTTTTTTGGCTGCATAAATGTCTTCTTTTGAGAAGTGTCTGTTCATATCCTTTGCCCACTTTTTGATGGGGTTGTTTGTTTTTTTCTTGTAAATTTGTTTGAGTTCATTGTAGATTCTGGATATTAGCCCTTTGTCACATGAGTAGGTTGCGAAAATTTTCTCCCATGTTGTAGGTTGCCTGTTCACTCTGATGGTAGTTTCTTTTCTTGTGCAGAAGCTCTTTAGTTTAATTAGATCTCATTTGTCAATTTTGGCTTTTCTTGCCATTGCTTTTGGTGTTTTAGACATGAAGTCCTTGCCCATGCCTATGTCCTGAATGGTAATGCCTAGGTTTTCTTCTAGGGTTTTTATGGTTTTAGGTCTCACATTTAAGTCTTTAATCCATCTTGAATTAATTTTTGTATAAGGTGTAAGGAAGGGATCCAGTTTCAGCTTTCTACATATGGCTAGCCAGTTTTCCCAGCACCATTTATTAAATAGGGAATCCTTTCCCCATTGCTTGTTTTTCTCAGGTTTGTCAAAGATCAGATAGTTGTAGATATGTGGCGTTATTTCTGAGGGCTCTGTTCTGTTCCATTGATCTATATCTCTGTTTTGGTACCCGTACCATGCTGTTTTGGTGACTGTAGCCTTGTAGTATAGTTTGAAGTCAGGTAGCGTGATGCCTCCAGCTTTGTTCTTTTGGCTTAGGGTTGACTTGGTGATGCGGGCTCTTTTTTGGTTCCATGTGAACTTTAAAGTAGTTTTTTCCAATTCTGTGAAGAAAGTCGTTGGTAGCTTGATGGGGATGGCATTGAATCTATAAATCACCTTGGGCAGTATGGCCATTTTCACGATATTGATTCTTCCTACCCATGAGCATGGAATGTTCTTCCATTTGTTTGTATCCTCTTTTATTTCATTGAGCAGTGGTTTGTAGTTCTCCTTGAAGAGGTCCTTCACATCCCTTGTAAGGTGGATTCCTAGGTATTTTATTCTCTTTGAAGCAATTGTGAATGGGAGTTCACTCATGATTTGGCTCTCTGTTTGTCTGTTATTGGTGTATAAGAATGCTTGTGATTTTTGTACATTGATTTTGTATCCTGAGACTTTGCTGAAGTTGTTTATCAGCTTAAGGAGATTTTGGGCTGAGACAATGGGGTTTTCTAGATATACAATCATGTCATCTGCAAACAGGGACAATTTGACTTCCTCTTTTCCTAATTGAATACCCTTTATTTCCTTCTCCTGCCTGATTGCCCTGGCCAGAACTTCCAACACTGTGTTGAATAGGAGTGGTGAGAGATGGCATCCCTGTCTTGTGCCAGTTTTCAAAGGGAATGCTTCCAGTTTTTGTCCATTCAGTATGATATTGGCCGTGGGTTTGTTTTAAATCCCTTTTCTATCACATTAGTGACTTTGGGCAAAGAATACAGACAATGCATTGACATTAAGACTGCCATCTTTAACCAGAGTCCTCCAGTTGCATTTCTAGAACAATGCCTAGGAGCACACCAAGCTTACAGGAGCCCGGAGATTGGCATTTCAAGCTCCCAGGACTTGACCAGATGTATTCTGCTCAGAGTTGATGATGCATGAGGCCTAAAATCCCATAAATTATCTTTATTTTAGAGATTCTACTGATTTATTTCATCAAATGACCTTCTTTTTTGCATTTAGGTTATAATTACTGTGAACACAGAAAGTAGGCCCTGCCCATAGGATTCCTCAGTCTAATCAGAAATATAACCCAGGAAATTAAAATTGAAACTTGTACCTCCTTTAGTTATTGTTTGCCAATCAGAGTGTGAAATTCTTTTTTTTTTTTTTTTTTGAGATGGAGTCTCGCTCTGTCTCCAGGCTGGAGTGCAGTGGAGTGATCTCGGCTCACTGCAACTCCACCTCCTGGGTTCAAGTGATTCTTCTCCCTCAGCCTCCCAAGTAGCTGGGATTACAGGTGCGTGCCGCCACGCCTGGCTAATTTTAGTATTTTTAGTAGAGACGGGGTTTCACCGTGTTGGACAGGATGGTCTCAATCTCTTGACCTCATGATCCGCCTGCCTCGGCCTCCCAAGGTGCTGGGATTATAGGTATAAGCCACTACGCCCAGCCTAAATTCTTTATCTACCTTCTCTCATATCACCCTTATGATCACCCTCTGAACCAGACACCCCTATCTCACATATAAGAAATCCAAAACTAAGAGGGATAATCAATTGTTTCAAAGTCAAAATGCATACTGGTGGAGCAAGTTTTATACTTGGTATCTATGAATGGAAAATTGCTTTATTTAATGACTACACTATGCAGAATTGTGTTATACAATGTAGAATGTGCTACTATGCAATCTTTACAAAGTACATTGGGGTTCTTTCCATTTAAGTGATAGGAATAAGACAGCTTACACCAAAAATGTGTGTAAAACTGGTAAGTCAAGGATGTGGATGACTTCTTGTATGCTGGACAAAGTAGAATCAAGTCATATCATGAGTGAGTGTGTCTCTTTTCACTTTTCTCCTGCTTAATTCTACCAGGGTTTTAATCTTAGATGGGCTCTCACATGTAGTTTTTGAAAAGGAGCCCCCCAGAACTCCTAGGTTTAATTATAACTTCAGGGATAAAAATTGATTGTTAAAAATCATTTTGGCAGAGAAAAACTATAGTTACGTTAATATTCCAGACTAATCAGGAAGTTGGACAGCTCTGACACGAGGGTTTGACATGTGCTAACTGGACAAGTTTATAGTCTATGACATGGACAAGAGAGTCCATAAAAATCACATACAGTGTGTTCCATGTATCAGAAAAGATCCTGCCAAAAAAGCCAGTAGTATGCTATGCATTTCCTAAAGAGGATATTTAAACAGAGAATTAGTTATACAGATATTGGAAGGGGGAAAGAGCAAAACATTGGCACAGAGAAAATATGAAGACTAATAAAGTGTGGAAAATAGCTACCACTCCCAGAACTCGTGGAAAAATAGAAAGGGGATGCATAACCAGATTCTCAAATGTCAGAGAAGCCCTGTAGGATTGGCGCTTGAATTAATTGAGGTATGGAAATACCCCACAGCTTGTGCTTGGCCCTCTCAAGTAGAGGCTCCACTCAGAGACTGCTGGGACTAACAAGGAAGGAGACCAACCAGAAGGCCTGATAAATGCTTGACTGGGACAAAGTCTAGGTAATGTAGTGAAAGAGGATAGGCACAAATTCCAGGCAATGCAATGAGGGGGGATGGAACAGCTGGTAAGGGAGTGCTATCCAGCTATTCACTATACTTCTAAGAGATTACAACAAATTAAGCACATTGGCAGGTGTTTATTGATTTGCATGTCTTCCTTTAGGACAGGGGTGTCCAATCTTTTGGCTTCCCTAGGCCACATTGGAAGAAGAAGAATTATCTTAGGCCACACATAAAATACACTAGCACCAATGATAGCGGATCAGCCTTTAAAAAGTCACCAAAAAATAGCAAAATGTTTTAAGAAAGTTTACGAATTTGTGTTGGGCCATATTCAAAGCCATCCTTGGCTTGAGACCCGAAAGCTTGCTTTCGGATATGTCATTTGAATCATTTGTCTGTTTATTAAATGGTATTTTTTGATATATATTTTAAGTAATGAGTTGAGATATATATGTGGACACAATACTTTATTGAATATATAGTTACAAATATTTTTCTAGCCTGTGTTTGCCTATGAGAACTTTTCTGATAAATAGATAATCTCATTTTAATTAAGTTTATTTGTTTTTTTTTTTCCTTTGGGGCTTAGTGCTTTATAGAATAATGCTAAGAAATCTATGCCTGCACCAACACAATTTCATATGTTTTCTTCTAGAAGATCCATAGTTTAAGCTTTTTTGTGAATGGTTTTGGTCCATCTTTAGATTAAGTTTTGTGTATAGTGTGAGGTAGAGGTCAAGGTTTGGTGTTTTCCTTATGGATAGGCAGTACATCCAGCAACAATTGCTTCAAAGCCTTTTCTTTCTCAATGGAATTACTCTGTTCCTTGGTCAACAATCAATTGACCGCGTGAGTGAGGCTCTGTTTCTGAATCTGCTATTCTATCTCATAGACTTGTTCACCTGTCTTTATAACTAAACTAATCTGTCTTGATTATCACAGCCTTATGCTAATTTTTAAAATCAGCTAATAAGATCCAAAATTGACACCCTAACATCACAATTAAAAGAACTAGAAAAGCAAGAGCAAACACATTCAAAAGCTAGCAGAAGGCAAGAAATAAATCAGAGCAGAACTGAAGGAAATACAGACAAAAAAAAAACCCTTCTAAAAATTAATGAATCCAGGAGCTGGTTTTTTGAAAGGATCAATAAAATTGATAGACCACTAGCAAGACTAATAAAGAAAAAAAGAGAGAAGAATCAAATAGATGCAATAAAAAATGATAAAGGGGATATCACCACCAATCCCACAGAAATACAAACTACCATCAGAGAATACTACAAACACCTCTACGCAAATAAACTAGAAAATCTAGAAGAAATGGATAAATTCCTCGACGCATACACTCTCCCAAGACTAAACCAGGAAGAAGTTGAATCTCTGAATAGACCAATAACAGGATCTGAAATTGAGGTAATCAGTAGCTTACCAACCAAAAAGAGTCCAGGACCAGATGGATTCACAGCCGAATTCTACCAGAGGTACAAGGAGGAACTGGTACCATTCCTTCTGAAATTATTCCAATCAATAGAAAAAGAGGGAATCCTCCCTAACTCATTTTATGAGGCTAGCATCATCCTGATACCAAAGCCTGGCAGAGACACAACCAAAAAAGAGAATTTTAGACCAATATCCTTGATGAACATTGATGGAAAAATCCTCAATAAAATACTGGCAAACCAAATCCAGCAGCACATCAAAAAGCTTATCCACCATGATCAAGTGGGCTTCATCCCTGGGATGCAAGGCTGGTTCAATATATGCAAATCAATAAATGTAATCCAGCATATAAACAGAACCAAAGACAAAAACCACATGATTATCTCAATAGATGCAGAAAAGGCCTTTGACAAAATTCAACAACCCTTCATGCTAAAAAGTCTCAATAAATTAGGTATTGATGGGACGTATCTCAAAATAATAAGAGCTATCTATGACAAACCCACAGCCAATATCATACTGAATGGGCAAAAACTGGAAGCATTCCCTTTGAAAACTGGCACAAGACAGGGATGCCCTCTCTCACCACTCCTATTCAACATAGTGTTGGAAGTTCTGGCCAGGGCAATCAGGCAGGAGAAGGAAATAAAGGGTATGCAATTAGGAAAAGAGGAAGTCAAATTGTCCCTGTTTGCAGATGACATGATTGTATATCTAGAAAACCCCATTGTCTCAGCCCAAAATCTCCTTAAGCTGATAAACAACTTCAGCAAAGTCTCAGGATACAAAATCAATGTACAAAAATCACAAACATTCTTATACACCAATAACAGACAAACAGAGAGCCAAATCATGAGTGAACTCCCATTCACAATTGCTTCAAAGAGAATAAAATACCTAGGAATCCACCTTGCAAGGGATGTGAAGGACCTCTTCAAGGAGAACTACAAACCACTGCTCAATGAAATAAAAGAGGATACAAACAAATGGAAGAACATTCCATGCTCATGGGTAGGAAGAATCAATATCGTGAAAATGGCCATACTGCCCAAGGTGATTTATAGATTCAATGCCATCCCCATCAAGCTACCAATGACTTTCTTCACAGAATTGGAAAAAACTACTTTAAAGTTCACATGGAACCAAAAAAGAGCCCGCATCACCAAGTCAATCCTAAGCCAGAAGAACAAAGCTGGAGGCATCACGCTACCTGACTTCAAACTATACTACAAGGCTACAGTCACCAAAACAGCATGGTACGGGTACCAAAACAGAGATATAGATCAATGGAACAGAACAGAGCCCTCAGAAATAACGCCACATATCTACAACTATCTGATCTTTGACAAACCTGAGAAAAACAAGCAATGGGGAAAGGATTCCCTATTTAATAAATGGTGCTGGGAAAACTGGCTAGCCATATGTAGAAAGCTGAAACTGGATCCCTTCCTTATACCTTATACAAAAATTAATTCAAGATGGATTAAAGACTTAAACATTAGACCTAAAACCCCAAAAACCCTAGAAGAAAACCTAGGCATTACCATTCAGGACATAGGCATGGGCAAGGACTTCATGTCTAAAACACCAAAAGCAATGGCAAGAAAAGCCAAAATTGACAAATGGGATCTAATTAAATGAAAGAGCTTCTGCACAACAAAAGAAACTACCATCAGAATGAACAGGCAACCTACAAAATGGGAGAAAATTTTCACAACCCTCATGTGACAAAGGGCTAATATCCAGAATCTACAATGAACTCAAACAAATTTACAAGAAAAAAACAAACAACCCCATCAAAAAGTGGGCAAAGGATATGAACAGACACTTCTCAAAAGAAGACATTTATGCAGCCAAAAAACACATGAAAAAACGTTCATCATCACTGGCCATCAGAGAAATGCAAATCAAAACCACAATGAGATACCATCTCACACCAGTTAAAACGGCAATCATTAAAAAGTCAGGAAACAACAGGTGCTGGAGAGGATGTGGAGAAATAGTTACACTGTTGGTGGGACTGTAAACTAGTTCAACCCTTGTGGAAGTCAGTGTGGCCATTCTTCAGGGATCTAGAACTAGAAATACCATTTGACCCAGCCATCCCAATACTGGGTATATACCCAAAGGACTATAAATCATGCTGCTATAAAGACACATGCACACGTATGTTTATTGTGGCACTATTCACAATAGCAAAGACTTGGAACCAACCCAAATGTCCAACAATGATAGACTGGATTAAAAAAATGTGGCACATGTACACCATGGAATACTATGCAGCCATAAAAAATGATGAGTTCATGTCCTTTGTAGGGACATGGATGAAATTGGAAATCATCATTCTCAGTAAACTATCGCAAGAACAAAAAACCAAACACCGCGTATTCTCACTGATAGATGGCAATTGAACAATGAGAACACATGGACACAAGAAGGAGAACATCACACTCTGGGGACTGTTGTGGGGTGGGGGGAGGGGGGAGGGTTAGCACGAGATATACTTAATGCTAAATGAGGAGTTAATGGGTGCAGCACACCAGCATGTCACATGTATACATATGTAACTAACCTACACATTGTGCACATGTACCCTGAAACTTAAAGTATAATAATAATAAAAATAAATAAATAAATAAATAAATAAATAAATAAAATCAGCTAATATAAGTCTGCTTTGTCATTTAGGGTCCCCTTAGAAGGAGATGTCAAGAAATAGACTTGCAACACATTTTTTGTTATAAATGCCTATTAAGGATAAAACTGAAAGGAGCAAGAGTCAGTGATGAAGGCCTCAGACCAGGATGAAGGCCTCAGCCGGGATGAAAAGAGAAAGAAATGGAAAGTTCGGGTAGGAAAATCTCAGACCATAGAGCAGTTCTAAAAAGTCTTGGTCAGGAGGATAGGAAGTCTCTAAGCAAAGATTTCCTATCAGAAAAGATACATGTTAGATGGAAATTGGCCAGCTCTCTTTAAGTCCCACCCACCCTGCTGAGTCATTGGCTCAGGACATCTCAGAGTAAGAATGTACTCTGCCTAAACACCATGGTGGATCCAAGGAAGTGCAACTATAGACTTTCAGTCAGCCATGCACCCCACCGATGGGTCTCTTCATGGGGAGCTGAGCTGTTCTTCTCTGGGGCTACCACAGTCCACCTCCAAAAATATAAATTAAACCCCAAATTTGTTCAGATATATAATTGTCGTTATTTTTATATGTTATTAATTATTACTTAAAGTAATACATTTATTGTTGGTGTTAAGCAAGATACTCCAGTTCAGCCAGGCACAGTGGCTCACACCTGTAATCCCAGCACTTTGGGAGGATGAAGCAGGAAGATTGTTTGAGGCCAGGAGTTAAATTTTTTTCTCCAAATATTTAAAAAGTAGGGAGGCATGATGGTGTGTGCCTGTACTCCCAGCTACACAGGATGCTGAAGAAGTCCTCTACCTCATGCTATACACAAAAGTTAATCTAAAAATGAACCAAAACCATACAAAAAAAAAAAGCTTAAACTATAGGCTGATGTAGAAGAACCACTTGAGCCCAGGAGGTGGAAGCTGCAATGAGCTATGATTGAACCACTGCATTCCTGCCTAGGTGACAGAGTGAGATCCTGTCTCAAAAAAAAGACAAAAACAAAACAAAACAAAACAAAAAAACTTCAATTCAACAACTATTTCTTGATTTTACAATATATCTGACATTTTAAATACATGAACAGGAAAAGAATTCGACAAAATAAAGGAATTATGAGAAATAACCTTTATATAAAATGTGTTTCACGTCTTGTTGGTGAGATGATAAAGTTTAAGTAGGCTCACAAAATATTTGTAGAAATATAGTTTATTAAAATTAATATACATTTTTTCATGACAAACCACATTGGATAAGTAACCATTGTGTAAAATATTTCTGCTAACTTAATGTGCAGTATTTACCTATAACGAGTAAAAAAATAACATTTACAGTAGGAACTACACGCTTTTTTCAAAATTTTCAATGCTGTTTTAGATAGCAATGAATGAAAGTTTTATAATGTAAACAATGGACCCACTTATTGGAATCCTGAGGTCCACATGTATTATTTCTCTAATCATCCTCTGTAAATGCTGCCTTTGGCAATAAAAGGTGGAGACACACATATTCTCTGCTGTATCAAATGCACTGGACTGATAGAGGTTCTCAGAAGCAAACGGCATGTGGTACAAATTTTGCCATTCTCAAAGGGAACAAGAAAAGTCAGAATAATAAAAGGCAAAATGGTGACAATATAGAACAAAAGGACAAGATCAAGGGGTGCTCATTCTGCTTTAAGCTACCTACCATTTGTAATGGAGACATTTCATCAAATCCAGCTGCCTATATCTGTAACAATGTTGATAAAAATAAGAATGCTTCTATCATATTTGGCACTTCTGAGTTTAGGTGAGAAAGCCGTGACTTTGACATCTTTATAATTCATGAAATTTACCATATATGTCCAATTAAGAACAGCCCAGGAGAGAGGAAGGATATAAAATGATAATGAAAAATATCAGTGCATATGTTCCTTTTACAAAGATGCCATGACCTATTTAGTAAAATTGTGAGAAGTGCCAGAGATGCAAAACCAAAAAAAGAGACAAGATGATTTCATAAGAGAAATGATAAGACAAGTTTATTAAATCACACATAACACCATCTGTAGAAACAACAAAATCTCTTCATGGAACACACTAATAAAAATTTAAAGTTCTTCAATCGTTTTACATTATTACTGCTTCTAATTAGAATATATTTCTTCTCTGAATTTTAATCAGAGCTTTCCTCAGTGCAACTTTGACATCCTTGTTCCTCAAACTGTAGATGAGAGGATTGAGCATGGGCACCACATTAGTGTAGAAAACAGAAGAAACTTTTCCCTGCTCCATAGATCCAGAAGAATATTTAATATACATGAATGCCGCTGACCCAAAAAACAGAGACAGAGCAATGACATGAGAGCTACAAGTACTGAAGGCTTTTGATCTTCCTTGAGTGGATTTGATATGAAGAATGCTAGTGACAATGAAAACATAAGAAATGAGGATGGTACAACTGGGTACCATGATATTAATACCCACAACAATGAGAACAACCACCTCGTTGACATAGGTGCTGGTGCAGGAAAGCTGGAGGAGGGGGAGTATGTCACACAAGTAATGGTTGATGATATTAGCACTGCAGAAGGTGAGTCTAAGCATGCACCCGGTGTGGGCCGTGGCTCCAGCCAATCCCATTATGTAAGCAGCAAAAGTGAGCATAGAACAGACCTGATGGGACATGGTGACCTTATACAGCAATGGATTACAGATGGCCACATAGCGATCATATGCCATTGAGGTCAACATGTAACATTCAGAGATGACAAAAAAGAGAAAGAAAAACAGCTGAGTCATGCACCCAACATAGGAGATAATATTCTTTTTTGATACAAAGTTCATTAGCATTTTGGGAGTGAAAACAGAGGAGTAACAGAGATCAATGAAGGAGAGATTGAAGAGGAAATAGTACATTGGTGTGTGGAGGTGAGAATTTAGACCGAAAAGAATGATCAAGCCAAGGTTGCCTACCATGGTGACAATGTAGACCACTAGAAACAGGAAAAAGAGGGGTTGCTGGAACTCTGGATGATCTGTTAATCCAGCAAGAATAAATTCAGTCACTAAGGAGTTGTTTCTAGCCAGCATTTTTTGTCTTCAAAAATCTGGGAAGACAAAAGAAAATTCTATTAGGAACACAGATTTCTTTTTACAAAATCTCATTAATGAGGAGGGGACTCAGGCTGTAGGAATTTGGGTGACTTCTTTGTTTCATGGGATCTGAATGTTCTGAATGTACTGCCACTCCCACTCCTCAACATTTCAGTCAGTGTCTTTTGTCTGTACAGACTGAATGTGACAAACAATTGCTCCTGTCCTTACTAGAAGACAGAGAGGTGGAGTAGCTGAGGCACAGGCCTACCTGCTGTTGAGCTTGGGTTATGTGGATGTGTCTCATCTCCCTCGCTTCCATCTGGCCCTTCACTTCCTAGTTTCTTTTTTTTTTTTTTAAGATGGAGTTTCACGCTTGTTGCCCTGGCTGGAGTGCAATGGTGGGATCTCGGCTCACTGCAACCTCTGCCTCCCGGGTTCAAGAGATTCTCCTGTCCAGCCTCCCAGGTAGCTAGGATTACAGGCACATGCCACGATCCCAGCTAATTTTTGTATTTTTAGTAGAGACAGTGTTTCATGATATTGGTCTGGCTGGTCTCAAACTCCTGACCTCAGATGATCCACCTGCCTCAGCCTCCCAAAGTGCTGGAATTACAGGTGTGAACCACCGAGCCTGGCCACTTCCTAGTTTCTACTTATGTTTCCATTATTCTACTAGACACTTCAGTTTCCTTGTGATGACCACCAGGTAAGGGAGGATTCCTTTAGGGCAGAGACCATACCGATATTCTGTTTCCTAGACAGGGGTCTCCTATAGGGTTTCTAGATACCTTACTATAAGAATCCATGAAGTCACCAGGTGATAACAGAAGACCCTTAGTAGTCAAAGCCTTATGATTCACCACATACAAATCACATAAGTGTTTCTACACATTCTCCTCTATTCCATCCTAGCTAGACAGGATGAAGAAAGGAAGCTGAATGTGCTTTCACAGGTCTTTGTAGGAAGGCATAAGAGAAACATAATTAATTTGGGTACAGTTATATTAGTTGTTAAGTTTGTAAAATTTTACCAAACTGGTATTTTTATGACCCTTAAACTCTTCTATATGTATAGCACATGTCAATATATTTTTTAATAAAGAGACAAATATCCTTTCCTGGCATTCCTCTGTTCTGGATGTGTCACTTGGAACTGCTATTGCTATCTTGATACCAGGCTAAGAATGAAGCCAACAGAGAGAACAGTGTGAGAAAAATGCAAGCCCAAGAGTCAGAGCTCCATACCACTAAGTTTCTTGCTATTGAATAGAATACTTTTCCCCATTTTTCAGCAACATCCAGGAGAGAGAAATAGAAACTTGATTAACTCACCTTCCTTCCACTCAGAGAACTCAGTGCTGACCATTGATATGTGTTTCACCTCCACTGCCCTGGAGGAAGAAATGGCTGTGAAGGTATCTATGTTGATCAGATGTAGTCACAGAATCTTCTTCTCCCTTGACTGGCAAAAGCATTGAGCAGAGATCTCAGAATCTGAATGTTCTGGGAATCATTTTGTGGTGTAGATCAAACTATTATTTATAAATTTGCCAAGAGGGTTTGTTGGAAAACTGCACTTCAAACCAGAGCTACCATGTCATAGAGCACATGGCATTTGCTCAAGGCTTACAATTCTTTTGGACCTGATTACATATCCCCCAGTAAGTCTCTCTCAGGACCTCCCCTACCATGACAAACTCTGCAGGGAAGAAATTGTATGCCCTTGTTTACAGCCTAATTTGTTGTAGTAGAGGTAAATTTCTCATCAGGGATTATACAATCCACAGGGCATAGGAGAAAGAGCATCTGCTCTCATGTATAAAGATGTAAATGTAATGATTGTCAGAATTTTTGCTAATTATAATCCTAGGTAGTATATTAGCTTTAACAGGAATGTAAGTATAATTTAGTGAAGTTTATATGCTCATTTTTAATATTGTGAGTCCTTTTAAATAATCTTTCAAATAATCCATTTTTACTTTTGCATACTTCATAGGCATAAAGAAAAGGGATACTTTTAATTGATTTCAGATTTTTTAATAAAAATTTTGTGTAACATAGAATTATCCTTTATTTCATAAAAATGTATTTACCTTGGGTTGCTCTAACTCAACATGTCTTTGTCTTTCATGTTAAAATCAAATCCGTAAGAAAAATCACTATTCATGGGCCGTTATTTCAAGACAGTGTGACTTTAGAATTTCTCTGTAGGTAGGAATTTGTGCTTGTGAGAAGGCATCTATTTTTTTACCTTTTTATTTTAAAATTACTAGAATCACAAGAAGTGGCAAAAGTCATACGTAGATTCCCTTGAACTCTTCACCCAGTTTCCTCACATGGCGATGTCTTCCACGACTATAGGACAATAGCAAAACCAGGAAATTGACATAGGTTCAATAATGTTAACGAAACTACAGACCTTATTCACTAGTTTAACATGCTCGTATGTATGTGTGTGCAAATCTATGCAATTCTATCCCATGTACATATTTATGTAACCACCACCTAAGTCAGGATACAGAATTCTCTTTTTTTTTTTTTTTGAGACTGTGTCCTGCTTTGCTGCAATCACAGCTTACTGCAGCCTCAACCTCCCAGGTTCAATAGATCTTCCCACCTCAGCCTCCCAAGTAGCTGGGACTACAGGCACATGCCACCACCATTGGATAATTTTTGTATTTTTTATAGAGACAGGATTTCATCATATTGCCCAGGCTGGTCTTGAACTCCTGGGATCAAGTAATCCACCTGCCTTGGCCTCCCAAAGTGGTGGGACTACAGGAGTGAGTCACCATACCCAGCCAAAAATATCCATCTTAAAAGAGATGTATAAACTTTTGTTTTCTTATTTTTTATTAGTAATTATTATATGTATTTATGGGATACAATGTGGTGTTTTGATAAATGTATACATCATGAAATTATTAAATTAAGATCATTAACACACCTATCAACTCACATACTGATTTTCTGTAGTGTAAACACTTAAAATCTACTCTCTTAGCAATTTTGAAATATATATTGCATTATTATTAACTATACTCTCCAGTCAGTGCAATAGATTCCAAAAACATATACCTCCTTTCTAATTAAAACTTTGCACCCTTTGACCAACATCTCATTCCCCTCACCCCCAGCCTCTGGTAACAACCATTTTGTTTTTTTTCTTTTTATTATACTTATTTATTTAAAAATATTTGAGACCAGGTCTCACTCTGTCACCCTGGCTGGAGTACAGTGGCACGATCTTGGCTCACGGAAGCCTTGGCCTCCTGGACTCGAGCAATCCTCTCACCTCTGCCTCCTGAGTAGCTGAGAGTACAGGCGCCTGCTATCACACCCAGCTAATCTTTTTTTATTTTTGTAGAGACAGGGTCTCACTGTTTTACAGGCTGGTCTCGAACTCCTGGGCTCAAACAATCCTCCCACCTTGGCCTCCCAAGGTGTAATCTCCCAAGGTGTAATCTCTCACACCTGGGATTACAGATGTGAGCCATCACACCCAGCGTAATTTTAAAATTTCTATAATTTTATAAGATAATATTCCAAAAATATATATATTCATAGTTATTAATGAAAATTTGTACTTTCTTTTGGAACATAAATTCTTTACATCAGGCTTTGTGCTAGAAATAGCTATTTGCAATGCTTTTTCCAGAATTTTTAATGAGTGTATCTCTAGTTTCTTTTACAGTCACTGTTTTAGTTCACATTGACCTGCTATAAGAGAATACCTAAGACTGGGTAATTTATACAGAATTTTCTTGGCTAATGATTCTAGAGGTTGGGAAATCCAAGATTGAGGTGTCAGCATCTTGCAAGAGCCTTCTTGCTGTATTATCACATAGGGGAAATGCAAAGAGACAGAGAGAGAGAGAGAGAGAGAGAGAGACTGGAGCTGAACTCATCCTTTTGTAAGAAACCCACTCTTGCTATAAAGGCATTAATTCACGAGGGGAGAACCCTCATGGCCTAATCACAATCACCTCTTACAGGTCTCGTCTCTTAATACTGCTACAATGGCAATTAAATTTCAAGATGCATTTGGGAGGGGACAAACAATCAAAACACAGCAATCATCATCAATGAGAAATTATATATGAAAAGTGGTAAGAGTTTTCAATAATTTGTACCACCATTTAAAACTTTGCTATTGAAATCAGATTTTAAAAATATAAGAGTTTTTTTCCTTTCATTGGCGTATTTAATGTTGAATCAGTTTGGAATCAATTTCACTTTTTATTTCAAATATTACAAAATAACAAAGAAGCTCTAATTTGCAGAAAGTGTATGCATTGTTAGAGTAACCACACTGCAACCAGCTTAGATGCCACCAAAAGGCTCCATCAGCTGCTGTAAGAGAATATATGGAGAGAAGTATCTGATCTGGGATACTTGGACAGAAGTATCTGATCTAGGGCTTCTGCTTGGAGCAGTGGCCCTAGGATTTCTGGCCTGGTCTCCCACCACCACAGAAGGCAGCACCTAAGGCTGAGCACTGTGCTTCTTGGGCACCCAAAACATAAGCTCCACCAGCAGCTCCATAGGCCTCTTGTCCACAATGGTCTCTGTCCTTCTCTCCATGTGACAGCTGTAGCTGGTGTCCAGGTGGTGAAGTGCCTCTTTGGTCAGGCTGTGAAATAGAACAGTGAGTACCTGACTTGGCCAACTGTTCTTGCATCTAGGCAAAGCATACCATCAGATACTCTCCACTCTTGCCCTCCTGACAGCATCTTTTTAGGCTCTGTAGCCTCTGTGCCTTTTGCATGTATTCTTATAGGGCTTCTACATGAATAAAACTTTCTTCCAATTAAAATTGTATTTATACAGCTGGTATAACAGAAGGATAACAAAGATGTACAACAGTACCCATATCTTCAAGAAAGTCACCAATTTGCAGATACAATACTTCCAAATATCCACAAGTTGGTTTTAAAAATGCTTCACATTCTGAAACAGTTCTTCAAATCTCGAATTATGTTAGTTTTTAAACCTACGTTTGAATGTTTAATCAATTCAGTTTTATGTAAATTATAGCTTTAATTTTAAAAATTGAAAATTTTTGCCAGGATGATGAAAAGAGTGGGCCTGTAAAATAAGTCTGTTGATTCACAGCAGAGCCAGGCATTTTGCTGACTTATCCTCCACCAGGGGGTGCTGGTGACACGGATATCATATTCAGACTGCACGGTGCATGCCAAACCTGCGACTCATATTTTACTTTTGTTTGTAGTCATGGATGCTGCAAATCTTTGTTTGTCTTTCGTAAAATGTGAAGTTTTTTAAAGATGTGCTCTTGAGCAAAACTTAGATCAAACCATTTTAAGCTATTTAATCAGGCATCTTAATGGATGTAGGCGAGAAAATGATAGAGGCAGACATGAGGCCTTCAGATTTCTGCATGGTAGAGTAAGAGCTTTAAACAAATCCATTACAATAAGGTAAGTTTACCTAATAAATGTATATAAATGATGCTTCTTTTTTTTTTTTTATTGATCATTCTTGGGTGTTTCTCGCAGATGGGGATTTGGCAGGGTCATAGGACAATAGTGGAGGGAAGGTCAGCAGATAAACAAGTGAACAAAGGTCCCTGGTTTTCCTAGGCAGAGGACCCTGCGGCCTTCCGCAGTGTTTGTGTCCCTGGGTACTTGAGATTAGGGAGTGGTGATGACTCTTAATGAGCATGCTGCCTTCAAGCGTCTGTTTAACAAAGCACATCTTGCACCGCCCTTAATCCATTTAACCCTGAGTGGACACAGCACATGTTTCAGAGAGCACAGGGTTTGGGGTAAGGTCATAGATCAACAGCATCCCAAGGCAGAAGAATTTTGCTTAGTACAGAACAAAATGGAGTCTCCCATGTCTACTTCTTTCTGCACAGACACAGCAACAATCTGATTTCTCTATCTTTTCCCCACATTTCCCCCTTTTCTATTGGACAAAACCGCCATCGTCATCATGGCCCATTCTCAATGAGCTGTTGGGTACACCTCCCAGACGGGGCGGCTGCCGGGCGGAGGGGCTCCTCACTTCTCGGACGGGGCGGCTGCCGGGCGGAGGGGCTCCTCACTTCTCAGACGGGGCGGCCGGGCAGAGACGCTCCTCACCTCCCAGATGGGGTCGCGGCCGGGCAGAGGCGCTCCTCACATCCCAGACGGGGCGGCGGGGCAGAGGCGCTCCCCACATCTCAGACGATGGGCGGCCGGGCAGAGACGATCCTCACTTCCCAGACGTGATGGCGGCCGGGAAGAGGCGCTCCTCACTTCCCAGACTGGGCAGCTGGGCAGAGGGGCTCCTCACATCCCAGACGATGGGCGGCCAGGCAGAGACGCTCTTCACTTCCCAGACGGGGTGGCGGCCGGGCAAAGGCTGCAATCTCGGCACTTTGGGAGGCCAAGGCAGGCGGCTGGGAGGTGGAGGTTGTAGCGAGCCGAGATCACGCCACTGCACTCCAGCCTGGGCAACATTGAGCACTGAGTGAGCGAGACTCCGTCTGCAATCCCGGCACCTCGGGAGGCCGAGGCTGGCAGATCACTCGTGGTTAGGAGCTGGAGACCAGCCCGGCCAACACAGCGAAACCCCGTCTCCACCAAAAAAATACAAAAACCAGTCAGGCGTGGCGGCGCGCGCCTGCAATCCCAGGCACTCGGCAGGCTGAGGCAGGAGAATCAGGCAGGGAGGTTGCAGTGAGCAGAGATGGCGGCAGCACAGTCCAGCTTCGGCTCGGCATCAGAGGGAGACCGTGGAAAGAGAGGGAGAGGGAGACCGTGGGGAGAGGGAGAGGGAGAGGGAGAGGGTGCTTCATTCTTATAGCAATTTTTTTAGTCAGATGTAAGTAAAGATCTTAACTGGTATAAATACGTTCTATAGCTGTTCTTATAAAGCAGTGTTTTCAACTTTTTCAGAAGGTAGTAGTATCTTCTGACAAAGATAAAAATTGCACACATAGGTAAGCTCATTCTCCAGAATCAGATATATCCTTTAAGGAGCATTTTTCCTTGAACCATTTGAGAAGTAGAAATGGACGGAGAAAATTTTTCTTGTGAGTAACCCACAAAACATGAAGATTTTGTAAAGATCCATTTTCTATGATTTGTGATATAAATAACTTATTTTTTTCTGTTTCCAAATATAAAAACATATTATAATATGTAACAGACTTTTTAAAGTACATGTGCAATTCTAGAGAGTGTGTCTTGCTTCGCTAAGGAACCTTGTCCCAAAGCTCTGCAGCCTCACTATCTCTGGAAATAATCGCTGTAATACAAGAATATGATTAAATGTTTCTTTGTAGCAGATCCTGTTTATCCCATTCTAAAATCAGACCTTTCTAGGGCCATGTGCATTTTCTAGTTTCACATCAACGACTAGTCCATTATCTCTCGGCTACAAGCATCTTGGCTGAGAACATTATTCCCACAATGACCCCATTTTTAGGTTCTTTGACAAAGATGCAAAAGAAATATAGCTACGTTGGCCATCCCACAAAGGAGATGATGTTCCTCTCTGAGATAAAGCCCATTGGAATTTTTGTGGTACAGACAAATGAATAGCAGACATCAATGAAGGATAGCGTGAAGAGGAAAAAGTGTGTGGGGGTATGAAGGTGAGAATTTAGGGACATAAAATTATGTTCAAATTCTCCCCACAGGGACCACATTAAGAATAAAACACTGGGGCAGCGGGAGTTTGTTAATCTCACAAGGATAAATTCAGTCACCGAAGAGTTATTTTCCACTGCCATTCATTTCATGGTATGATCTATAAGAACAGGGGCAGACAGTAGCATTAATGACAGATCCTCCCTCTTTGTCCCTAGAGGGAGAGCTGGATCTGCTGGATTGTCAGCTCAGGGTTGTCTAAAGACTTACAGCAAGTGATCCAAGGAGGAAGAGTCCCTAAGGAGGTCCCCAAGACCTGAAATTCCAGATTGTCCTTCCCTCTTCTCTCCCTCCCCCAAGTCAGTTTTTGTAGGTCTCTAACCAGAGAAAACTGCTTGTAGACCTTATGCCGTTTCAGCACTTCCTCCCTCCAACCAGGGCTGTCTCCAGAGTATTCCCCTAGAATCTTTGATTTATGGGTTTGGAAGGAAATCGGCAAGACAAAGATGATTTAGACATTCGTCGTTGTTTTTCCTAGAGACCCTACCAGTGCTCAACCTCGAGGGCCCTTCTTTCCCACTGTCTTGAAGGGGGCAAATCTGATGATGCAGCAGGCAAGAGCCATCAGCACAGTCTTCAGTCTCTGACAAGCTGTAAGAGTTCTTTGGAGAATTTTCCATGACTTCTATTTGAAAACTTGCCCAGAAGGCCCTCTTCACAAGCAAGCAGTAAAACAACTTTAGAAGCCTAAATGGCTTGAATGGGAATTTGTTTCACGCCCTACAGCTCTGGAGAAAGTGATTCAAAGCCCAGAGAATGATTCTTTCCATTGCAATTTCCTCTAAAGTTGGATGAGCCTCTTAAAGGTTTACATTACTGAGCCTGTGTGTACATCCTGTGTCATAGACCTACCTTTGGATCCTTCTGTACTCAGCATTCTTACTTAGTTTATAATTTCATGTCGGGAAATCCAATCTCCAATGCAGAAGAGTGAATGCTCCCTTTGTCACTTCCTTCATTTTCCCCTGGAGTCTATGCACAGTGCTACAAAAGGAAAGTCCAGGGATACAGTCACTTGCCATTTCTACTTTCCTACATGCCTTTGGGATTGTGTTAGTAAAATCGTAGATTATAGCTTTGACACCATATGTGATTGTGGATTTCTCTTCTATAAAGATATTTGTAGCAAAGTAGCTAAGTCTTTGTAGCTACTTTGTAGCTAAGTCAGACTGCCTCAATTTAAATCTAGACTATTTCTGCACTTCCTGTGAGATTTTAGATGTTATGTAACTTCTTTGACCCTTGTTTCCTCCTCTGTAAAATGAGAATAGTAATTGATTGCCGTGGGGGTTAAATGATTTAGTACATGGAAAGTATTAGAACACTGCCTGGAATATGGAAAGAGTCTGGTAAGTGTTTGTTCTCCTTCTCCTCATTCATATTCGCCTATATATATAAAACGTGAACCTTTTCCCTGCGTGCTCCCTGAACACTTTTATTTTATGTGTATTTATGTGCCCCAAGTTCAAAGTGTCCCAAACTGCAGTCAGCATTTTCTTATGATTTCCAGAACCACTCCTTCTCCGTTCATTATTGTCTAAATTATTTTCATGACCACCCAGGTTACTAAATTTAAGCATCTGCTCCTCACTCACCTTCTTCATCCAGGCTTCATGTCCCAGAGAAGCTATCTCTTCAAAATCTTGCTCTGGTCTTTCCTCTCTAATACATTGCTTTCGTAAGCCTCTCTTCACCTCCTGATTGGATTACACTTGATTTTCTAATGTGGGTTCTTATGGAATAAAAGAATTTGTTCTTTGTAACCTCCTTCTCACCACACACACACACACACACACACACACACACACACGCACAATCTTATCCTTGTAATATGGCTTATAATAATTATAAATTTGGTTAGATAAATATTCAGTAGTTGCATTATTAACACAATTTTAAACACTATTTACAGATAATAGATCAGATACCAGAATCATTTTTATTTTATTTCTTTTTCATTTTCCATGAAGCAAATGTTTTTGGGGGCTCTCATTTGCTTTGATAGTCTATGATTTCCTTGAATTATCCTCATGACCTCTTCTCCATTTGTATATATCTTTTCTCACTATATACAGTTGTAGCCATATGATGTTAGCTGATATTTCAAAAATTTCATCTTCTCAAAAATGTCATCCTAAGAAACTTGTGATCTACTACCAGATCAGAAGTTTAATGGGATGTCCTCTAGCTTTGTTGAAAATCTAACATTTTGAGATCTCTTGTCACCATCTTTCTGGGAATTCTCTTCACCTCATACCTGTGTTAGGTAACCTGTTTTCTAGATTCTGTTTTCCTGTTTCTTCATTTCTCTCTCCATTTTTAAAGTGAACTTCATTTTTTAGAATAGTTTTAGATTTATAGAAAAATTGAGAACGTAGTACAGAGAGTTCTCATATACCCCACTCTCATGTCCCCTAATATTAAATCTTACCTTAGTATGGTACACTTATTACAATTAATAAACCAATGTTGTTACATTTTCATTAACTAAAGTCTGTATTTATATAGCTTCAGTGTTCACCTAATGTCATTTTTCTGTGCCAGGTCATCCAGGTTACCCCATTACATTTAATTTTCAATTCTCCTTACATTCCTCTCAACTGTAATAGTTTTCTTCCTCATTTTGATTGAAAATTTTTCTATTAATTTCTAGAGAAAATGTACATGAAATACAAATTTTATAGAAATTGCCTGTCTGAAATTGCCTCTTTTTTGCCTTCTTCTTTGATTGGCAATGGTAGGGTTTAACTTCCAGTTTAAAAGTTAATTTAAACCTCCAGTTTAAAGCTTAATTTTTCTGAGAATTTTGAACATATTGATACAATATGTGTACTGGAATTGCATTAAATCTACAGATCTAATAGACGGACATGTTAATAACATTGTATCTTCCATTCCATGAATATCATGTATCTTGCATTTATTCATATTATTTTTCTTTCTCAGAGCAAGGTTTTAAAGTTTTCAGTTTAGACATTTGCACATCTTTCATTAAATTTATTCCTAAGTTAGTTTGGGATGCTACTATAAATGATGTATGTATTAATGTAACTTTCCAAATTTTTGTGGCCAGTATATAGAAACACAGTTGATTTATGTTTGATGACGTTGTATCCTGAGACCTGAATTCATTTTTTAGCTCTGGTATTTTTGTTTTGTAATTTTTAAAATAATTTTCTACATAAGCAATTATTTTAGGTGAACAATGCTTATTTGTCCTCTTCCTTTTCAATCCATTGGCATTTTATTTCATTTTTCTGTCATATTTCAACAAGCTAGGCTCTTCACCAAACATAGAGGAGAGAGAATAATCTTAGTTTGTTTCCAGTCTTTTGGGGAAAGTACTCAGTCTTCAACCATTAACTATGATGTAAGATGTAGTTTTTTAATAAGTTTCTTTTGCTAAATTGAGAACATTCTCTCCTGTCCTATTTTTCTGAAAATTTTATTGTAAGTGGCTCTTTCCATGGCTGAGAGTAATAAAGGTGGAGACACATGTTCATAAGGAGCAGAATGGGGTCTTCTTGTCTATAGGTGAAGAAATCTGTCTAAGAAAAAGCCACATAGAACCAAGCACATCAGAAAAATTGAAAAAGAGGCACAATCCCTGTGACCCCTTGGATCCAGACAAATCTGAAGCAAAATGTGTCCCTAGGAGGCAGGACTCGACTCCATCTACTATTTTAGGGAGCTGCCCTTCATATAAATTGAAGACTGGCTGAAGCAGGAAAGAGGCATGGAAGGCGCCTCCCCATAAGACATGTTCACCAGTGCCATGAAAATTTACCATTACCATGGCAATACTCAATGTCACCACCCCTTTTCTAGAAATTTCTGAATAACTTGTCTCTTAATTTGCATGCAATTAGAAGTAGGTATAAATAGGACTGCAGAACAACCTCTGAGCTGCTGCACAGTGCACACTGCCCCTGAGAGGAGCAGTACCTCTGCTGCTGCCATACATTGCCACTTCAATAAAAGCTGCTGTCTATTACCACTGGCTCATCTCGGAATTCTTTTCTGAGAGAAGCCAAGAATTCTCCCAGGTTAAGCCCCAATGTAGGGGCTCGCCTGCCCTGCATTACTTGGACTTTCCCATTAAATGAACTTTTTTGTTTAAACTGATTTGGCTCAGGTTTGTTAAATCTGAATTACCGAAAGTAATTACTGAAAAGCAATCACTTCGAATGAAAAGGCTCTTAATATATGGCACTATTGTACCTTGTACAAATTTCTGTGGCAGCGCTTACTTTCATTTTTATGTATAGCACTGTAACAGAGATAAATTTTACATTAAGAAAGATCTGTGTTTGAATCCTGGCTCTGCCACTAGTTTTTGCAACTTGGGCAAAAGCATTTAAGCTAAGCCTTGGTTGATACCTGTGTAAAACAGAGATACTTGTGTAGAGATTTTAAAAGGTAAGTTAATAAAAGAGCTTAGCATTGTTAACACCAGTTACCCATTAGTTGTGCAATTCTCAGTTTCTTCTGTTGCTTCTTCAATTAGGCCAAAGGGCAAATCTGTATCTTATCTCTTTTTGTGTTCAGAGAATCTTCATACTTAAATCCTCTACAGATGTTTATTTGATGAAATGAATAAGTAAACCTTCCAAAATAATCAGATAACTTACTTGTGGAGTTTAGATCTCAAGGATCCTTTATCTAAGCAAAGGTATATCAGCTCAGGAGAGGAGTGTTTTTGCCAATAGATAGAATTGTGCAGGCTTTGTGTGCTCACAGACATCACCTTAGAGACTTAGCCAGAGGACTTTGGGTTAGAGAAATACAGTTGAACTCATCCATTTTAACCACTGCTACTTTCTGAAAGCCCACTAAAATGTTAATGAAGGCATTACAAGGCAGAAGAACAAGCATGTTTCATTAACTTACTGGGACAAGAACACAGGGGAAAGACAGCAGGAAAAAAAAAAATCAGAAAGCTGGAAGGCACAGTGATAATCAGTAACTGACTCGGTGGTCCCCAGAAAGCTGAATTCAGAGCTCCGTAGTGGAAGCAAATATCCAGATTACGCCATAGCGTGTCTCACGTGCTCAGTAATGTGGTGGCACAGCTCACCTCTGAAAGTAGGGGTGATGGTGAGCATAAAAACAGGAAGGCGGCTTGAAAGTCTGTTACAGAAGTAGGCAGATCCCCAGATTCTCTCTTCTACTCGGTGCATCCAGAAGAGTGATCCTCCTACACCCCAGCAGAAGACTGGAGGTTTATTCTGCAGAGATGAAAAATGAAACATCTCTAGAATAGAAGGCACTTGAGTGTGGAGAAGTACTATACTAAAACTGAGGGAAATAATTGGCAGTTCACATACTGAATGTTACTGTATCATTGAAATATGAGTATAAAATAAAGACACTTTCCGACATGCCAGGTGTGGTCAAGGCATACAAAGTATGGACAGGCTAGATGTCCCACAAACTCATTTTATCTTCTTCCTGATCACAAAACTAGAATACTTTTCGCAGAGTCTCTTTTGCTTAAGTACAGCCATAACTGAGTTCTAGCCATGGAGCATAAGCAAAAGTTAAGTGTGTCCGTTCCAAACTCACAAAAACTTCACTTCCATCATCTCTCACGATGCTCCCTCTTTGGCCTCACTGATGCAGAAGAGCATGTGTTAGAGATGACATAGCAACATGAGAAAAGGGTCTTGGGTCCAAGTTTATTACTTTATGGAGCTGCCCTCCATTTAGAAAAACTTATTTTAAACTCTATATGAGTAACATGGAAACTTTTATTATATTTAAGTTAAGTATATTTGCTTTCGAACACCAAGTTTTGTAAGTATGGAAAGATGATTTAAACAACAGAGAGAGTGTTAAGATGAATTTATTATAAGTACATAGAAAATTGAATGAAAAACCAAAACCATTATTTATTCTAGAAAGAACAAAGGTAGTGAAAGAAAAATGATCAAAACACATTACAGTACTTACATAAGCAAAGCATTTACATTCTTATAATTATGTAAACACTGAATATGAATCCAACTACAAAAAATAAACTGTATTGGGAGGATAAAGAGAACAGAAAGTATATTTGTGTTGAAGGGAGGTAAAAAATGAAGTTAATTCTGATATCCTAAACTGAAAACCAGTTGACTTTTTATTTAGGCCTAACACTGAAAAATCAAGAAGCAACTGCATATATTTAGTGATAGGGTGATAAAGACCAGAAAAAAAAAAGCCGAGATCTGTTTTTAATAGGACCATAGAAAATGATAAATAAGATTGAATTCTTGCCCCTAGCTTCATTTCATTAGTTTCATTTCTTATGCCCTGATCCTCTTCGATATCCTCCACATCTCATCAGCTGAAAGTGTTCAGCACCTGTAGTTCCCACATGGTAATTTTTGCTGTGGTCTATGATTCTACATTATTCACACATCTCAAAACCTTTCCTGCTGATTCTTTGAGCCAGGGGAAATTTTTTACTCTGGTTTTTTATATCTCTTGCTATCATGAACATGTTCTCATTTCAGTAGATATTTTTCTTGAGGAAAGCACTGTTTAGGATGCCACACGTTCTCTTTTCCGTCTTAGGCTTTTCACCGCTGTTTCTTCCTTGGATGTTGTTTCCCCTGGAAAGCTTTCTTTTACCACATTCTCTTATCACCACCACCACCTCTGCCTAAATTTAGCTCCATATATATATATATACACACACATATATATTTATATATATATTTATATATATATATTTAGAATTAATATATTCTGTAAGGAAAATGCAGCTTCTTAGTATTGTGGGGTTTTTTTTAAAATGATTTAAGTCCATAATGCAATGATATGGTTCAAAATTCAAAAGATTCAAAAAGGATATGCAGAGGAAAGTCTCCTTTATACCCCTGTCTCTCAGCCATCTAGCTGTCCTCCCTGGAGGCAACCAGTGCTACCAGTTACTATCAATGCTATCAGTGATATTTTATTCATATACAGTCCTATGTTGCTTAGAGACTAGGACTATATTCTGAGAAATGTGTTGTTAGGTGATTTTGTGGTTATGCAAACATCACAGAGTGAATTTACACAAACCTAAATCATACAGCCTGCCACACACCTAGGCTACATGGTACAGCCTCTTACTCCTAGGCTACAAACTCCTACAGCATGTGACTGTACTTTGTACTGTAGGCAATTGTAACACAATGGTAAGTATTGCTGTATCTAAACATATCCAATCATAGAAAATGTACAGTAAAAATATGGTATAAAAGATTAAAAATGGTACACTTGTATAGGGTACTTACCATGAATGGAGCTTGTGGGACTGGAAGTTGCTCTGGGTGAGTCAGTGAGTGAGTGGCAGGTGAACGTGGAGGTCTAGTACATTACTCTACACTACTGTAGACTTTATAAACACTCTACACTTAGGCTACACTAAATTTATCTTAAAATATTTTTCTTTCTTCAATAATAAATTAACTTTAGGTTACTGTAACATTTTTACTTTATAAATGCTTTTGTTAGAAACTAAGACACAAATGCACATGTTAACCTAGGCTTACACAGGGTCAGGATCATCAATATTACTGTCTTCCACCTCCACATCTTGTTTCATTGAATGGTTTTCAGGGACAATAACATATGGAGCTGTCATCTCCTATGGTAACAATGCCGTCTTTTGGAATCCCTCCTGAAGAACCTGCCCGAGGTTGTTTTGCAGTTAATTTTTTTTAATACGTAGAAAAAGTACACTCCAAAATAATGATGAAAGAGTATAGTAAGCTTAATACATAAACCAGTAACAGTCATTCATTAGTAAGTATTATGTACTGTACATAATAATATGTGCTATCCTTTGATATGACTGGCAGCACAGTTGGTTTGTTTACACCAGGATCACTACAAATATGTGGGTAATGCATTGTGCTATGTCTTTACCTTTTGATGGCTATGACATTGCTAGGGGATAGGAGTTTTTCAGCTCCATTATAATCTTAGGGGACTACCATCATATGTGCAATCTGTCATCAACCAAAACATCATCATGCAGTGCATAACTGCATAATGAAATTCACATGCATTATCCCACAAATTTTACACAAATAGTAGTATACTGTATGCACTGTTTTTCAACTCGCTTTTAATTTCCTATCTATCACTTCTTGAGAAACGACTGAAGAATGAGTAAGACTTAGGACCCAGGAAGAGTAGATTCAGAAGAGTAGTAAAGAGGAGTCCCAGATACCTGTGCAGTCACCATATGGACCAACCAGGCTAGACTGGAACAATGGTGTAAGAGAGATTTTTCCACTTAACAATATCTTTTGGAGATTATTTCATACATAAAGGTAGTCTTCATTTTTTATACACCTAGATAGCAGTTTTTGTACAGATATCTGAAAATCTATTTGATCTGTCCCTCTTTGATGAATAATCAAAGGACTATCTCAGTCCTTTGTTATTAACTGAGGTTAATCTCAGTCCTTTGTTATTATTTTTTAATGTAATGAGTAAACCAATATATAAATCATTAGGCATATGTATATGGTTTCCTCTCTGTCCAAATCCATACACCTATTCTTTTCCTTTATGCTTTGACTCTGGGGATATACTTTTCTTTATGATGCTGGAGCTGAGCCTCTGGAGATTAGATTTCTACTTTGCCAGACAGCTTAGTATTCAGTTCCACCAATACTCAATGCTTCCACCAGAAATAAAAAGCACCTAGAAGTATGAAAACAAATGAAATATCAGTTAGGGAGAAATGACCTGAATCCTTGATATGATTTAATCAAATGCAATGAAAGACAGCAAGAACAACACCCCCAAATGTTACAGTTGATATTATGTAAATAAGCCATAGGTTATAACCAGAGTTAAAAATGTCAGTCAACTGTATGAGCTTGTGTCTTCTGGGTGAAATCCTCCATTCAGTGTCATGTTGGAGGGACTCAACACCCATCTTCCCACTGCAGAAACCATGTAGGAGAGAAGGTCCCTCCCCATACCACCTGGCAGCCAGAAAACGGGCACCTTGACCTAGGTCAGCAGTATCTAGGTGCATGCTCCCACCTGAGAAATTAATCTACAATGATACAAACAAATGGAACCATTGGGAACCATTTGCATGGCTTCAGCAGGATCCAAGGATAGTGTGAGATGTACGGAGCAGGGGTGTGGCATTTTGGCCAGACTGTTCTTGCTGAAATATGTCCTGGTCTTGGCCTCTGGGGTTGTCTTGGTTCTTACAGTTCTGCAAGTATGGTTTTACAACCCACTCCAAATTACTTTACATCCCCAATATTCTTTCCATCAACTCCTAGAGTTACTTTCTGTTACTTGTCAGAATAAGCTCGGATGCTCTGTGAGAACTGGGAAGATGTCTGCACTGTTCAGTGTGATATCCCCAGTGCCAAATGCAGGGCCTAGTACATTGTTGGTGCTCACTTCAACAATGTTTTTTTACACAGATAAATGAAAAGAAAGAAAAGGAATAAAATCGCTCACCGTCCAAGAAGCGGCAGATTAGCATGGGAAGTGGGAAATGAGGGGCCAAAAATGTGGAATTCTGTGTCAGGAGCCGGTAACAGAGCCTTGGGGAATGTGTCCGTATTCCCACATACTGTTCTTGAGCCCAGGAGAGAGAGGGCAGCAGGCTGAGCTGTCAGAAACGCCAGGGAATGAGCATTGAGCCCCTTTCTCCCCTCTCCCCCTTCAGAGCAGTCTACATCCTCTGACTTTGGGGGAAGGAGGAGGCTGCAGGAGAAAGTCAGTGGATGCCTGGAAGACTAGGGCACTGCCGGTGAGGCAACTGGTTCCTGAGCACAATCAGATGTTTTTGGAGACTCGGAAATTCTTAAAGGGACATCAGAGGAGTTGGATTCCTGCATTACTTAGTGGGAGCACAGGTAGATGAAAATTATCTATTTTAATGAATCATCTGTGGTTTTAATATCTTGGGATTAGAGGTTAAACACTCCTGCAAACACTAGTGCAAACACTCCTGTGCCTGGTGAAATATATCTTAAAACATCTCTGTCAGATGATCATTCAGCTTTTGCCTGGATATTTCTAGTCATGATAACTCGAAGGAAGTGTCATTTCCAATCCTTAGAGTATAAATATCATAGATCGGACAAAGATACCTTTTCTAGACTCTATTAACTCATCAATGACTTATAAAACCCACTAAACCCTTCAAAATGTTGCAAATCAGTAAAACAGCAATTGCTTTTAATTCGCAAAATGCTTATATTCCTGTGGGAGATACAGATCATAATTTAAAAGTGCATGACAGTCTTCTTGCCACCAAGAAATTAATTATTATGGAGAGACAAGTTTTCTAATCACATTGTTATTAGAAGAGCAGTGCATACAGTATGTTGAAAACACCTATATTTGTCTTACAAAAAGTTATATGTTTTAATTTTATAATGCTTATAAAATTGTAATGTGCTTTTTAAAATATACTTTTTTAAAATGCCTGGCCAGTACAAGAAAGAAAACAACCAGAGGAAAAAAAATTGACACCGAAGCAGGCAATTCACTTAAGTAGCCACTAGGTTGTGCTGGTGATTCAGTAACGTTGCTTAAACCAAAAAAAAAAAAAAAAAAAAAATTTTTTTGTTTGAGATTTCGTTTTTCACATCTTTCTCGGGCCCCTAACATGTATAGCCATGGATTTTACATAACTCCTTACATGAAAATTTAAACTCCTTGTTAAAACATAAACTTTTTTAAAAAGCTGTCCATTAGAACAAAATTTAAACAGGTTGAATATATTTAATTTGCAAAACGTGTTAAGCACTTTCTATATTGTACAAAGGAGAAGAATGGCTAAGATATGACAATTACAGTATAAATCACATACACAAATATAAGCAAGTAATTCCAATATAATAGATCACTGTAATGCTAGCTCTAAGTATTTTTGTTGTTGTTTTGCTTACTGCTCTATTCCAAGACGTAGAACATATTAGGAGCACAATAAATGTTTGCTGAATGAGTGAACGGTTAGGTGAATTCATTATTATACAATAGCTGTATAGTCTATGGTCTAAATGTATTCCTATAAAACAGTGTTTATAATCATCTTAAAATCATTTGATAAAAATATAAACTTTACAAATCTCCAAGACTGTATATCCCAAAGAAATAATAGCCTTACTCTCAACTCATTGGAATAAATGATGTTAAGAAGATAGTATCTAGCTTTTGTGTGTTTTCACCAGAACGATTTGTATTACTAAGTTGTATTACAAAATTGTTTGTACTTATTTCAATATATAAAGTAACATGATAACGTCTTTTATTTTACACAATGTTTCTAAAGAGTGACACATTCCCAGAATGAGGTTGGCTTCATTGTGAGAGCTATTGTTGAAAACAAATCATGATTAAATGTTTCTTTGTTGCAAACCTTATTCATCCAGCCCTGGGGACAAACTCTTTAAAGATACCTGCATGTGTCCACTTTGGCGTCTAAATCCACACAGATTATTTCTCACATATAGGGATTTGGAACACCATTTCTGTGATCACTCTTTCTTTCATGTTGATTGCCAGTCATTTCTCCAGATTGCCATTCTCTACTTCTCTATTTCTCTGTTTCATACTATTTCTTTCCACTCGTTTCTGGAATGCAATGTGTCTTGGTGCAAAAAAAAAAAAAAAAAAAGCACAGCAGTTGGAGCCAGATAAAGAAGGGTTTAAAAATGGAATCTGCCACCTTCTGGGGACCTTCAGCTGATTCCTTAATTCTGAATATCAATTTACTCCTCTGTAAAAGATGACATCCAGCAGAACGCATGTTATTTCTGCCTTTTAAGAAGCACGACAAGTGGGAGCTACATGGAAAGGTATTCAATCCACTCCACACAGTTTCAGGATTAAAAGATCGTTTGTGCTAGGAAACTGATTGCAGTTAAGAAAACAAAGAAACTTCATTCTGTAGATAGCCCTTTTGTCCTTAGCTAAAGATAGTATGCTGTGTTTTTCACTGTATCAATTATGGAGCCCAGAATATTTATCCAAAATTTGGAAATAGCTGGAAGATAAAAGAAGCTATAAATACACATGAACAAGGCAGTAACAATGTTATGCTACACCTAGTACAGCATATTTTTGTATTAGTAATATAATATAAAAAATAAAATTCTGTGAATTTTTCTCAAAGACGAAGAGTACTTTGATGAATGTCATAGATCCGTAGAAATAAAAGGAAAAAGAGCCAAGAAAGTTTTTAGCACTAGGTTAGAAAAGAAAAAAAAAAGAGGTACAAACTTCAAATTAGTTCTATCAAGTCCTTTTTTTTTTTTTTTTTTTTGAGATGGAGTCTGGCTCTGTCACCCAGGCTGGAGTGCAGTGGAGCGATCTTGGCTCACTGCAAGCTCTGCCCCCCAGGTTCACGCCATTCTCCGGCCTCAGCCTCCCCAGTAGCTGGGACTACAGGCGCCCGCCACCACTCCCGGCTAATTTTTTTTGTATTTTTAGTAGAGACAGCGGTTTCACCGTGTTAGCCAGGATGGTCTCGATCTCCTGACCTCGTGATCTGCCCGCCTCAGCCTCTCAAAGTACTGGGATTACAGGCGTGAGCCACAGCGCCAGGCCAAGTCCTATTTCATAAAGCAAATTTAATCAATAATGGGTGATAAATTTGAATAAATATCTTTTTAGCATGTATGGAAATGATCACTTGATTTTTATCCTCAGCTGTATTTTAAAATATGTTATATTAGTAGATTTCCTAATGTTGAAGCGTCCATGCATCTATGGAATAAATCCCACCTGGATATGATTACTCTTTTTTCTGCTGCTAAATGTTTGCTAATATTTTATTCAGTACTTTGTGTTGATATTCCAAAGTAATATTTGTCTGTGATTTTCTTTTTGTGTATGCAGTCTTCTCAAATTTTGCATCAATGTTGTGCTCACTTTGTAAAAATGACTTTGGAGGGAGTTTTTCTTCTGTTTTAAGCTCTGAACCAGTTTAAATACTGTTGCAATTATCTCTTCTGTGGTAGACTTCTCCTGTGAAACCACCTGGGAAAGTAATTTTTGTGATGTAACTCTGACAACTTTTTCCATTGCTTCTATGGAACTGACTCTTTGGATTTTCTATCTGATCGAGAATTCATTTTCTTTAATTATATTTTGCTAGAAAATAGTCCATTTCATTCAGGCCTTTTATTTCACTTGACTAATGCTCAAAAATGTCATTATTTTAATGTCCTCTATTTCTATGGTTTTCCCTCTTTGTAATTTCTTATTTGTTCTTTCTTCTTTTTCTCTGAATTAGGAGAGACAGCAGCTGATATATATTACTAATGTTGAAAGAACAAGCTCTTGAATGTATTTATTATCTCTACTGTTTTTTTTCTAATTCAATATTTTCTGATTTTAACTTTATTAATTCCTACTCTGTTTTCTTTTAATTTTACTACATCTTTTTCTGACCCATAAGTTAATTGTTTATTTATCTTTATTGCTTGTTTAATATAATATTTAAAATTATTTTTCTGTTTTAGCTGTATACTATCTCATAAATTATAAAAGGTTACATTTTCATAGCTTTTTTCTAGGCATTCTGCAATTTTATATTTTTTCTTTGATCTGCAAGTAGCTTAAAAGAAAATGTTAAATATCAAAGTAATAAAGTATTTTTGCTTTCTAATTACATAATTATGCTTTAGTTTTATTGCATGATGATCAAAGAACATTGATGGGACTATTTTTAATATATCAAATTTATTGAAGTTTGCTTTTGTGACCTAATATTCACTCTTCATGTGACTGTTTTTTGACCCTTTGATTAAAAGGTATGTTTTTAATATCTAGGACACAGAACTACACATACACACACACACACACACACACACATACACATAAAAAATTGGATGTTTATATAGAAAAAACTAATTTATGTAAGTAATTAGATTTATCTCTCTATTATCTTCTTGACATTTTCTACATCTTTTATCTTTTTCTATAAACCTGCTTTATCAGAGACTAAAAGCTGTAATTTAAAGTTCCCTTCCAATAATGTTAATTTCTCTTATAACTCCTGATGTTCTACTATGTGGTGCAGAGAGACTCATAACCATTACATATTTATTGTAAATTGTATCCTATACCATTATAACGCTTTTGCATTTAACATTTTTTGACTGAATTTCCATTCTGACTGAAAGTCAGCCTGTTTGTTTGCTTGTTTGTTTATATTTACCTGTTATATCTTTAGTCACCATTTTATTTTCAATCTTTCTGAATCACCTGGTTATAGATGGGTTTCTTGTATGCCACATAGAGTTGTATTCTGCTCTTTGATCCAGTCTGACTCGTGTTCTTTTAACAAAGAAGTTAGAACATTTACCTTTTTTAATTTGACAGACAAAATTGTGTGTATTTATCATGTACAGCATGATGTTTTGAAGTACATTTACAATGTAGAATGGCTAAATCTAGCTAGTTAACAAATACATTGCCTCACATGGGTGTCATTTAATACACAGTACCCCCTTATTCTTAGGGGATATATTCTAAGTCTCCAGTAGATACCTGAAATCACAGATAGTACCAAACCCTATTTGCCATCAACTGGAACACCATTTTCTGTTCATGTCTTCCACATGCTATTCTGTGAAATTGTGAGTCATCTAGCCTAAATTTTCCTGTCAAATTTCCCTATTAGCTGACAATGAGCCCTCCTTCCATGGCCCTTGTATTTTACTCATGGTTCTCCAGAGAGAAAGAATCAACTGGATTAGATAGCTCAGAGATATAAATATAGATTAGATATAGATATAGATAGATAGATGAGAGGGGATTTATTAGGGAAAATGGCTCAAATGATTATGGAGGCTGAGAATTTCTATGACAAGCTGTCTGCAAGCTGGAGATTCTGAGATGTCAGCAGTGTGGATCAGTCCAAGTGTGAAAACCTCAGAACCAGGAAAGCCAATGGGTTAACTCTCAGTCCAAGCCCAAAGACCTGAGAATCCAGGGACCACTGGAGTTTGTCCTGGAGTCCCAAAGCCAAAGAGTTTGCAGTTCTGATATCCAAGGACTGGAGAACAGTTTCCCAGCTCCAAGAGAGAGAGGAAATCCTTTTCTCTGCGTTTTCTGTTCTGTCTGGGCCCCCAGCCGACTGAATGATGCCCACTCACATTGAGGGCAGGTTTTCCCCACTGGGTCCACTGACTCACATGCCAGCCTCCTCTGGAAACACCCTCACACTCACACACCCAGCAGTTCCCTAGGTGTTCCTTAATTCAGTCAAGTTGACACCTAAAATTAACGAGTAGAGCCCTATTTGAGTTGCACTTTGTGTCCTCTCAGACACTCTATTTTTCATATGGTTTCCAATAACCCACTACCAGAGCAAGAGGGGTCATTTCAAATCATAAGAAAATGAGAGCTTCAATTACCAGAAGTCCTTGTGCTAAAAGTGCAGAGACAGCTCTAATGTGGGAAATTTGGCAATATTAATCACTCACTCCCCCTTTCCTGTGGGTCTAATTAGTGAGAATGACTGGAGCCAAAAGAGGATGAAAATACCATTGCATCTTTATTCATAGCCATGCTGAAGAGGCAAAGATGTCAGGACTCGCACCTCCCTCTCAGAACCCGGACTCTAACTTAACCCAGTAGGAGACAGCAGTAGAGGTTAGGATTGAAATAGCACAGATTCTGGCTTGTCCTCACCATGAGCTTGCCTTACGTTAGTACCAATAGTTTGGTGATGAAGACACTGGGCACATTTCCATCAATGACCAACTTGTCAGTCTTTTTCAATCTTACCTGTCCAATTAATCTAACCTTCTCTCACAGAGTGGACAAAGTAAGAAAGCAAAAATATGGATAGAGTGTATTCACTTCTAAATTGTTCCCTCCTGGCAAGTGGTATTCTATCCTTTGGTGGATACTGCTAGTTGTCTGCACAATAGCCATGTTAGCACCTTCTTCCTTAGCAACAAAATTCTGTTGTTTAAGGATGATAATGCTATCAAGTGAAATGCTAAGTTTCTCAGCCTCCTTTGCAGGTAGGGATAGTTAATAACTTGTCAGTAGCAGTCATACGTTAAATAGGTAAAGTACCCATTTGCTTATGCTTACCCCTGTGTCTTCCTGCTGCTTGAAATATGGACAAAATCTTAAGAGCTCTAGTGGCCATCTGGAAATCATGATGCATTATTGAGAATGAAATCTCTAGCTAGAAAGAAGAGAAAAAAGATGGAGAGAGAGACTGAGTGCTTGATGACTCAGCACTGTCAAATCAGTCCTGGACTGCCCACCTCTGGATGCCGTTTATGTTGGAGGACAATAAACACTTATATGTTTCAGCCACTGCAGTCAGACTTTGGTTACCAGCAGCTGAAGTGGTTTGTAAATGATACATTTCTGCTGTGGAAGTGTGAGGGGAGAAAGGGCACTACGCATCTAAGCTAAGAGTTAACGCTGAGTCTGCCACGGACATCCTCTCATCTGCCTCTTGAGCACAGGGAAACCACGTCCTTTTCCTTCCAAAGATCCACTGGAAGTTCTCCTTGTACTCTCGCTCTTCCTACTTGGAGGGTCACTTACCTATATTCTCCCACATGGTTAGAAATGTGAGAGACAACAGTTTACTCCTCCTGATACTCCAAAACTATGTCATCACTTAATCGTTAAACAATTCTATTTGAACATCAATGTTAATAAGACTTGCGTGTTTCCAGTTTACAACTGATTACAGATTCTGATTGTAGCTCAGGGTCAGAGTTATAGATTTGAAAGTCACCATCAAATGCGTGGTTGTTGAAGTCACCTGAGTCAGAGAAATGCCTCAGGAAGAGCCCAGAAGAGAAGGAGACCAAGAACTGAACCTAGAGGAATCTCAACCTTAAGGATGCTTCCTAAAGAGAAAAAAGTAGCCTTGCTAGAAATTAAAACGTCATGACGTGAGGAGATGATGGAGTCGTGGTCTTGTGACAGAAGGACTCATTTAGGACAGATCTGACACTCAGTTTCAACTTACTTCTCTGTTACTGTAATGCCACAGCCCTCAACCCTCCTTCTATTTGTTTAACACTGTGAGAACAAACAATTCCTTAACGTCAACCCAAAACAATATGCAAGATGACCCATCCTTGGTTTGAGACAGAAGTGCAGGCCTTCTGAATTTATTTAATGTTGCATTTTCTGTGGAAGCAGTAGATGCTCTTATTTGGCTTTACAAGAGCCAAGAAAAGTCTCTCTGAGTTTTTGTCATGTAAGATCCTCAGTCAAAAAGGAACTTCTTTCCAAAAGAGCCAAGCCAGTGTCTCATTAAGTCAAACATACTTTCACGGCTACTCACCCCAGTGCCAATATGGAGTGAATGCAGGGAAAGTTATTCTTGGACTTTGATGCATTGATTACATAATTGTTCCTTTCCATTCATATCCTATGCCCTGACTTAGTTCTTGTTCCCGCTCATTTATACCAATGGTAATTGTTTTTTTTTCTTTATCCGTATCAAAGTAGATTTACTTTTGTCCTTCCTTATTCTTGATTCTTTTCTAATATCCCAAGACCCCCATGGACCTAGACACAGACAGTCCACTGGAGGGTGGGATTCAGCAAGGCCCAGAGGACTGACCAGCAGTGGTTGAGTAAGGTATTAAATCAATTCCAATGAATGAATTAATATATTTAAGGTACCTCAAATGGTGCACAAACACATGGTGCAAGTTCAGTAACTGTTAAGTGTCATTATTATCATAATCAAAGCATAATCCAAGTATCAGAGTTTTTCTCCTCCAAAGATCTTCCTCTAGCAGATTTGGAGAAGATAGATAGAGTTTGTCTCACGTCTCCTGTTGGTCAGACCTGTGCTGCAGTTGCTTCTCTGCCCTGCTCTCAGCTCTCCCTCAGAATGTCTCCTGGCCACGAGCTGGAGCACTGAACTCTTCAATGTAGAACAGCAGAACCTTTAGCAGAGTAATACAGAGTGGTCTTTGGCACTCAAAATCCAGATCCCTTCCAGACTCCCTGAGAGTGGGACGTGTAATATGACTCCTCTTTCTTTCCGATTCTATATTGATTAACTGTAATACACATACAGACACACACACACACACACACACACACATATAAACATGCACACACGTTGTCAGAACTGTAAAATCTAAATCCACTTTAAAGAATAAGCAATCTTCCTAAAATCCAGTAGTGTGCTTAGTATCTCCAGAGCAAGGCAGAGGCCACATTTTACAGATCATGCAAATCCGTGGAGTTCTTCCTTGTTTCTTCTTCCAGCCTGAGTCTCCGGAGCCTAAGAAATTGGCCCAATTACACAGGATCACTTACCCCTGATTACCATTCCAAGGCCCAGAAGCTTTAGAACTTTGAAATAAAAGATTTGGATTTGATTTATCCTTACAGAGCAGATCATAGAAAATTCTTGTGTGAGGGCTTCTTTTATGTACATACATGTATATGAAAAGGAGGGTTTATGATCTTCCTGACCAAGCAACCTCCTGAAGAGCTGGATATATAATCATATTAGCACTGGCACCAAGGTATCTACCATTGATCTTTAATAAGTCTGCTTATGTAACTAAAGAGAAAACACTCCTCAACCTTTATACCACCACCTGCCCCTTGTTCCAGCCAGAAACGTTCTTGCTCAGAAAAACCCATTTAGCCTACCAAGAAAAGAATGGAAGGCATGGAGCCTCATCTTACTCATCTCTTGGGCCTAATACAGAGTTCAGTAAACAAAAGGCATTTCATAGACACTAACTTGCAGGCAGTGAGCCAATTTAATTGTTGCAAAATAATATAGTCCTCAAGGAGAGTATAGGAAAGAGATTTCCAATTTTTAAAAGTGGAGAGGAGACCCTCTTTGAGGAAAAATATTAAAATTCCTCCGCCTATAAATAGAAAGACACTTGAGTATCATGCTTACCGAGAATCGGTTGCCAGTGATATGAAGAGACCCATTAGAAGAGCACTCTCTTCAGGGTTTTGCCCAGGGCAAGTTTATCATCCTTATTCCTCAAACTGTAGATCGAAGGGTTAAGCATGGGAACCACATTGGTGTAAAAGACTGAGGCAAATCTGCCATGGTTCATAGAGCCAGGAAAAGATGTTGTTAAGTAGGTGAATGTCCCTGACCCAAAAAACAGAGCAACAGCAATTATGTGGGAGCCCCATGTGCTAAAGGCTTTGGATCTGCCCTCTGCAGAAGGAATACAGAGGATGTTGGAGAGTATCAAAGCGTAAGAGATGACGATGCTTATGCTGGATAGCATGGTGATTACTCCAACAACAATGAAAAATACCAGCTCACTGACATGGGTGCTGGTGCAGGAGAGCTGCAAGAGGGGGAGAACGTCACACAGATAATGGTCAATGACGTTGGAATCACAGAAGGTCAGTCGCAGCATGCTTCCAGTGTGGGCCATGGCCCCAGCAAACCCTACCACATAGGAACCAAACATCAGCAGAAAGCAGACCCTTGGGGACATGGTGACCATGTAGAGCAGGGGGTTGCAGATGGCCACATAGCGATCATAGGCCATTGATACCAACACATAGCACTCAGAATTGACAAAGAAACAGAAGAAAAATAGCTGAGTCATACATCCCACATAAGAGATGATACTTTCTGAAACAAAGTCATTCAGCATTTTGGGGGTAAACACACAGGAATAACAGAGATCTATAAAGGACAAGTTGAAGAGGAAAAAGTACATGGGGGTGTGAAGGCTAGGATTTATCCCAATTAAGGTGATCAAGCCCAAGTTGCCCACCACAGTGAACACATAGATCCCTAAGAATAGAAGGAAAAGAGGGAGCTGGAGCTCTGGCTGTTCTGATAATCCCACAAGGATAAACTCAGTCACTGAGGAGCTGTTTCTCAGAGTCATTCTCTCTTGGCGAGCTGTCTGGGGAAGCAGAGGGCAAAACACAAAGAGTCATGACAGGCACAAGCATGGCTAAGGGAAGAAGACTCTAGTGGACCAGCCAGTGTGCAGATGCCCTCTCTTCCATCCTCCCTCATCTACACACCTCCCCACCCTGAGGTATTAACAACGTGTCTGTGAGAGGATCTCAGCTCTGCTGGGCCGATCATGAATTCAAGCTAGCATCTGTTACCATGGGCAGCAAGAATTCCGTCTCTGCTTGAGAGATGACGAGGGAGACAACACACCTGAATTGGCTGCCCAGGGACTCTCAGAAAGACACCCTGAGAACCAAGAGTACAACCTGGGCCGCTGCCTCAAGAGCTGAGAGACCAGAGCTCTCAAGGTCACCAGGATGCCCTCCCATTCTCTGCCTCCGTCTCCCAACTAGATAGTGGATTTCCATCTGGAGAGAAAGCCAAGAGTGTTACCTGCTGGCTCTTTACATCCCACCCGCCTCCTCGAAGACCCTCCATTCCATCTCACCTCAGGGTCAGTGTTGAGAGCAGAGACGGGATCCATACTTCCCAGAGCCCTTGGTTGTGGGTTTCAAAGAGACCATCAGGAAAGACAGGATTCGGACCTTCACCTTCCTTCTCCCGGGCCCCACTCAGTGCTGGGCCTTACGCCATCTCTTTTTCCATTAGCCAGAAAGAGAAAATGGTGCTGCTTGTGCAGAAAGCACACAGCCTTGCGTATTACCTCTTTTGACTCCCTTGGTGCTGAGAATCAGAGCTTTTACAGACCCCAGGCTCCAAGGTGCTCAAGGAATAGACCATGGTTTCTGTTTGTGGATTTTCCCAGGTGGTCTTGACAACTTCAGGAAAAAAAACTAGGAACTCTCATTTTGACCAGAACCCCAGCTGTCATATCACAGAGGAATTTAAGCTGCTTGACGATCTCAGGGACCTGATTAGACACAGTTTCCCCTGGGAATTTCTCCAAGATCTGTCTCTATAGGGAAGGAATTGCACTGTCTTTGTTTACAGCCTGGATAACGGTGCTTACCTAGCATCTTGGGAGTGGGGGTTCCACTCAAACTTTCCCTCTACTCCAGGGATTTCATGTTATTCAGTGCTGAGTTTGGGGACTCATTTTTTCCTTTCTCATTAACTCTCAGAGCCTAAGCTTGAATTTAAGAGTGAATAGCCCCAACCTAAGCCACCATCTCCAAATCTTCACAGGGAGCTATGAGAGTAGGACCCCTCAGAAAAGGTCAGATCAGATCTACAGAGAGCACCTCAGATAAAAGGCTTCTTGGACCATGCGCTGCTCAGAACAGAAACCACACCACCTCCACCACAAACACCACCTACTCGCAGCTCTAATAAGGGCCGCAGACAGGCCTTTACTATATATGAAGAGATTAAAATATCACAACACATATGCTAGAAAGCACACACACACACACACACACACACACACACACACACACACACCCCTACACAGAGTTACTCTCTAGGCATGCAGGCTTAAGGTATAATGGGAGATGGATGTAAGGGTCTAATCCTGCCATTATTCAGATGACAAAGCTGCTCTCCATATGATCTGCTAGATGAATATTTTAAGAAAAATTCAAAGACATGGGAGCATCTGCATTTGTAAGTTTCACTAAGGCTACCTAAAATAATCCCAGTTCGCCTGGGACAGTCCTGACTTACACTCATTATCTCTGTATAATTATTAATAGCATACCCTTTCACTCTCAGAAGTGTCTGGACTTGGACAACAAATTGTGTATACTAACTAAAAGTAAGTAGGCATATTTACCTAAAGACATGCCAAGATTGTGCACTGCAGCGTTGTCCTTAACAGCCACAAACTGAAATCACCCCATCTGTCAGCCAACTGTAGACCGGATAATAAATGGTAGGATGTTAATAAAATAGAATTCCATATAGCCATGAAAGATAATGACATAGATAAATGTCACAAACCAACAGAGAGTGAAAGGAGCCAAGCACAGAAGAGGGTATATTTTATGATTTCATTTACATACAGTTTAGAAACAAGGAAGCTAATCTATGGTGCTAGAAGTCACACAGCAGTTCCTCTTGGCTGGGCAGGCAGGGGCTAGTGACTGGAGAAGGATGTGAAGGGTGCTTTAGGGTTGCTGGCAATGTCTGGTTCTGACAGGGGTGCTGGTGACACAGATGTATGCAGTTAGCAAAAATTCATCGAGCTCTATCCTTATGTTACACTTAAATAAAAAGTTTATTTAAAACGTAAGTGGAGAACAAAAAATAAATCATCCTACCAAATTAGTTTAAGACAAAAATTACTCAACAGCTTTGAGCTATAATTCCCCCATTTGTAAAATGGATATTTACTGCCCTGACAACTCAATATAGTAGAACGTGCAAGAAAAATAACACCGTTTATGTTTCTTTTCCATCTTATGTCTCTTAAAATAAAAAACCATTTTTTAATATAAAGGGAAGAAATCAAGAGAAAAGAGAATTAATGCATATGGAGCAACTACAGAGTGCCTGGCCTTATGCTGGATGTTTTCTGATGTAATATGTTGTTTATAACAACTATACAATGTGTATGTGTGTGGCAGATTGTATTTCCCAAGTATGACTATACTGGTGCACACACACATACACAGTCACGCATGTATACCTTACATCCCACATGCTCTTGATATAATAGGACTGAAACTCCTCCAATCAAAAGATGAGGCCTATATGCCCTAATTTTGCCTCTAGGCAGGGACTTGGGATTTTTCCAATCACTAGAGTATGGTGGAAGTGACGCTATGTGACTTTCAAGATTGGGTCATAAAAGGGTAGAGCTTCCACCAGGCATGCATTCTCTCTCTCTATATATATATATATTCTCCCTCTCTCTATCTCTCCCCTCTCCCCAAACCTCTTTTGACATCCCTTAACCTTCAGGAAAGTCATGTTAAAACCCTCTGGCCTTGTCACAAGATAAAATCACATAATTACATGCCATAGGAACTTAACTCTTGTTTATGTCACTTACCCTATAGGAAAATTGCTCTCATTATACAGTACATTATTTCACTTGAAGTTGTGGTTTCCAAGCACCTACCAAAAATTTTGAGTGCAGATTTACCGTACACTATAAGGTAGCAAGTGTGTGGTCATTTGTCCAGTGTTGAGGGGCAGGAGCCCCTTAGGACCTACATGCCAGTGAGTGGACACTTGGAAAAACACTCAAGGGAAATAGCCAGGGGACTCACCAGAACAGGTCTGGATCACTTGGCCCAATTCTCCCACACTACCAAGGAAGTCTCCTTCCAGTTCCATATTTGAATAATGTTTATGAGGTTTACTTTTATGAAGAAAACAAGCATTGCTATTTAGTACACATAATTCCTTACCCATTGCATTTTCCCATCCTGAATGGCAGTTTATTAGGTATGCAGCAATGATCTAACAATGGAAGAGAGAATCTTCTGTTCATTAGAGTAGACGTCAATTTATTAATCATCCAACAAATATTTATTAAAGCTAGTTATTTCCAGTAATATTGCAAAAGCTATTGTATTAGTCAGGGTTCTCTAGAGGGACAGAACTAATGTGATACATAGAGAGAGGCGTTTATTAAGTATTAATTCACATGATCACAAGGTCCCACAATAGGCTGTCTGCAGGCAGAGGAGCAAGGAGAGCCAGTCCAAGTCCCAAAACTGAGGACCCTGGAGTCCATTGTTCGAAGGAAGGAAGCATCCAGCATGGGAGAAAGGTGTAGGCTGGGAGGCTAGGCCAGTCTCTCTTCTACATTTTTCTGCCTGCTTATATTCTAGTCTCGACGGCAGCTGATTAGATTGTGCCCACCCAGATTAAGGGTGGGTCTGCCTTTCCCAGCCCACTGACTCAAACATTAATCTCCTTTGGCAACACCCTCACAGACACACCCAGGATCAATACTTTGTATCCTTCAATCTAATCAAGTTGACAGTATTCAGCATCACAGTTATATTCAGAAAGAGTTCTTGGGATAAAAACAAAAACCAAGAATTCTGGACAAAATATTAAAAGCATCTATTTGTTCATATTTGAGCTGCCAAAAACTAAGTAAAAATCTGCGAGAGCAAAAGAGAAGAAGTAAGAAAGTAAGACTTCAGAGGGATGCACAAACCCCAGAGCTAGAGTTTGCCTTTGGGGAACTAGCGGATTCCTGGGGGGTCAGAGCTGGGGTTTAATGAGTTAGCTATGCAGGAGATAAAAAGATAAAGCCTGGAACTTTAAGCAGGTTGGAAGTTTGGAACCATGACTGACATAATTCTGACTCCCCAGGAAAAAAAAAAATTCTCCATGGCTAACTTGGAGAAAAAATGCCCACAGTAGGAGCAGGCCTAGAAATGTGACCGACTTGGCCTTGGCTCTAGAATGGCAGAAAAACAGACAAAATAGCCTCTGACAATTTCTAATCACCTCTGTGTTTCAAGTAAAAAATTCATATTACAAATATGACAATAACAAAAAGTTCTTTCTGGAGAATAAAACTTAAATCCAGATATGAAATTATTTCCCCAGATAAATATCCAAGGATCATGAGCTCATGATGAAAATTTTAAACAAACACAAAATAATCCACCATCAATAAGACTCACCAGGAATGATAAAACACAATTTATGTACCTAGCCAAACCTGCAAAATTACTAGCTTGTCAGGGACAGAAAACAAAATAGATGCATACAATATGTTTTTAAAAATTAAAAATTAAAAAGCAAACTGAAAGTATAATGAAGGAACCATCAAAACTGAAAGAACTCCCCAAACTTTAAAGAATCAAATAGAATTTTTAGAAATGAAAATATGGTGATTAAAATTGGGACCTCTATGAATATGTTAGAGAGCTTATGTTAGACACAAGTGAAGAGAAAATAAGTAAACTGGAAGGTAGATCTGAAGAAATTGTCCGGAAAAGTCAACATCAGTGTGGGAGAGACTATGAATTAGAAATACAATTTAAGATATGTAGAAATAGGAAGTTCCAATGTGTGTGTGTGTGTGTGTGTGTGTGGTATACACACAAGCATTTAAAATAATTTAAACCCCGTGTTTTGCTCTAAAAACAAGGCAACAATGAAAACAGACACAACCCCTTAACTTTCAAACATATAATCTAGATGGAGAAAGCTAGAAGAAACAGATATTGACACATAATTAGAAATACAGTAAGTGTGCCAGGAAGAGGCTATAGAGTTCTGTGAAAACATTTAAAGTGGGCCCTACCAAGTCTTCAAGGTCAGAGAAGGCCTCCCTAAAGAAGTGAAATTCAGTTTTAAAGCTAAATTTAAGTAGACATTTAAAAATGTATAGCTGTTTGTTTGTGACTGTCCAGCATTGGAATTCCTTCCAAATTGAGGACTCTGCCCCTGTGTGAGCCTTGGCTGAAGCAAGGACCCAGCCTCCTTCTGTGAAAGCACCCCAGAGAACATCAGAGCTAGCTCAGCCAGTCAGATGTTCCCAGGCAGAACTCTTCAGTTTGGGGTGAGTGACAGAAAAAAAACAGGAGCAATTTATATTTCATTTTTGCAAAATCAAAAACAAAAATCTACCAATCAATAAAAATGTTAGGTACTAGTGGTGCCAACATGAACAATCGGTGCAGCCTAACCAGATAGTTGTGTGGTATAACTTGGCTGAGATTCCACCTGTCTGGCTCCAAAAACTAGTTCCCTAGCCTGTTCTAAGATTCTATGAACTACCCCATTTATTGCTAATGAGCTCCCTTTTTTGCTAAAGTTAACCAGAATCAACTGCTTCTTGCAGCTAAGATCTCTGTCTACTGAAATAGGGACTGGTGGCTAAGGGGTCTGTGGGAAAGGAGTAGAGACAGGGAAAGCATCGCAGGCTGTGGGGCAATTTTTTCATCTCCCTATGTCGGGATAAGCACACGCCCCACAATCATCTGCACAGAGTGTGACAAACCCTCCTCAAAGTTTTGGTCTATTTTTAATGATTTTCCCCTTCCAGGGATATGTTTGGATGTGGTTTGGAAAATAAAGTAAACAAGCATCCCAGTTTCCAAAGACTGCTATTCTTCATACTCTTGCAAGAAAGTTCTTAAAACCTTCGATTCTTCAATGATTCCTTTTTTTTCTAAATAAGCTAAATTATGCTTGTCAGTGGAATGAATATAAGCTTCTTTGCTGGCTAAACAGAAATGCATTTAACGAATTATCTGGCCAGGTTTTTTAATGGAATGTGGGCCATATGTAAATAAAATAAAAAGATGATGTTCAACATCTAAGGAAGATCATGGCTCAATAACTACTTTTATTGATGAATGATAGCTAGTGTAAGTTTACATTAGTCAATGTTATGATGGTGTTCTGCTTTTTCATATGCTCTACATTCACTTTATTGGCTTGGAGATCCTTTATAAAATCAATACCTGGAATAACTTTTCGCACATCTTGTAAAATGTGAGAACAATTTTGCTCTTAAAAATTATTATAAGCCATTATAGAAAGTATATCTTTAATTTTATAACAGGTTATTTTATACTAAATCTTTATTCAGAACATCTCCAGTTATTATATTGTTACTATGGAAATTCACAATCTGCTTTATGACATAGTTTTAGAAATGTATTGCTATTAGTCTTGAATAACAAGTAGAAGGTTACCAGCAGAGAAAATCAGGAAAGCATTCTGAGCAAAAGGAACCACAAAAGGAAACAGAAAAGGTTATAAAGGAAAAAAACACTGCAAATTTTAGGAGTGCCAAGCGACATAGAGAACAGAACAGCTGTATACAGGGCAAGGAGGGGTTGGAAATTGTGGACCGGGTTAATGATGAGAAATGTAGAAAGAAAATAAAATGTCAGTACCTTCCAGATTCGTTATGCTAAGGGGAAAAGTTAAGCCCTGAAAGCTGACTCACTCATGTTAACATGACTGTTTTTCTTCTCTGCCGCATGACTGTTGCTTTCTGACTTTTGTGTTGAGATGTTATACGGTAACTAAACTCCCTGTTCTTTATTCAAACTAGACTAAATGACACTGGAAATAGAGACCCTTGTGACTGTTACCTCTTTACAATAACACGTAAAAAAATCCCCTTAGAGTGGAACCAATAGTAGTCAATCAAATCTTATATCTGTATGTTGCCTTTGCATGGGAAGTGTAACCTATTCAGCACCTCCGTTTTCTTCTGTATAAATTTTCCTTATTTTTCACCACACCAGGAGCACAGATCACCATTCTTTGGTGTAGCTCTGCTCCCTGGACCATGCCCTCATACTTTCCATTTTAATGAGCTTTCCTTAAATTAGATTCTGACCCTTTTGATTATCTTAGGTTGACATAATTAATCATATCCCTTTCTGTCTGAGTCCAGAATCAATTGAAAAAATAGAGACAGCAGTCACACAGGAAAAAAAATGCCAGCTTTATTGCTGATAAAGTTAATTGGAAAACCCAGCTTGGATGTGCAATAGGACCTTGTAATTCTCTCAGTGCACACCATAGATTAAACTTGTGAATTTAGATCTAAACTGAGCTGGACAACAGTTGTCTTCACTACAAAGGAGAAAGGTTTCAAATGCAAGAGATGAGTGGGGGCCCTGAGAACATACCTATCCAACTAGGAAAAAAGAGGGAAAGGGTCTGTAGGAAGAAGGCTGGGCCACCCTGAACCACAAGTCCATTCTCCCAATTTCTCATCAGTCCTATAAATCACTCCTCTCTCTCAGCAGCTTCCTGATTTACCTTCTGGGACAGAAAGCCCCGCATGCTGTAGAGAATGCGAGGTGCAAAGCATAAAGGAGACCAGAATCACAGTTTGGGCCCAGATCTGTTGTTACCACCATTTGGACTTGACTGTGGTCAATGGTGAGCAAGATGGGAGAGTGCTGACATCACCAAGCTGGCCTTCTGGCTTTTAGAAATGAGACAGATGGGACTGGAGACAAGAAACCCGAACTAGAATGGTGCAAGGGATATGCAGAATTTGACACCTCAGGATAAGAAAGGGAAAGCTACTTTTAGAATTTAGAAAAGGAATTTAGGATCATCAGATGAAATGTCACTGTTACAAAGTTCTTTGCAAAGAAGGAAACTATGCTTTCTGTGAGGCAAATAGAAACATTTGTCTTTCTACTGACCTGATAGCTATAAACACAACAAAGTAAAAACCATAATTTTGGTATATATATTTAATAATACAGAAAGCTGTTTACAACATTTTACACAATGAAAATAAAATTGCGGGTCAGGTGCAGTTGCTAATGCCTATAATCCCAACACTTTCAGAGACCAAGGCGAGAGGATCACTTGAGGCCCAGAGTTCAAGACCAGCCTTGGCAACATAGTGAGACTCCATCTCTACACAAAATTTAAAAGTCAATTAAAAAAAAAGAAAATTGCAAAAGGGAACTTAACATGATCATATCTTTGTATATATGTGTGTATGTGTGTATGTGTGTGTATGTGTATGTGTGTGTATGTGTGTGTGTATGTGTGTGTGTGTGTGTGTCTGTGTGTATGTGTATGTGTGTGTGTATGTGTGTGTGTGTGTGTGTGTGTGTGTGTGTGTGTGTATATATATATATAGTTTTTGCAAACTGGTCTTTGCCATTACAACTACACAGACATACCCAGAAAAATATACACCAAAATGCTAAAAGTGGTCATATTTAGGTGCCAGGATTGTGGAATTTTTTTAAAGCTTTTGCTTATTGCTACATATTCCTTATGTCACATAGTCCTACAATAGTAAAACATGGCTTTTGCAAATTTAAGAAAAATAATTTTTAAAAATTAAAAAATACCACATAATTTCAGTATTTTAAGGTTTAAGGATTTCTTCAAAGTGTATTTAGCATCTTCTATATCTAGCAGGCATTATCACCTGGCTGAAGTTGGGAATATAACCTCGATAAACATTTTCTAAATACACTATTGCATAATCCATATAACAGTAGATCAGTAGGTCTCAGATATGTTTATATTACTGATCCCTAATAATAATGACTGAGCTAATGCTCAGTGCATTAAATAAGGAGAAAAATCTTCAATGTCTTTATCTTAGCATATTTTTTGACAAATTGTTTCAACTGAGAGTGAATGTAGGGACTTGTTCAGCTCAAAGGCAGCAAGAATTTGGACTTTGTACAAGGTGAAAATATATATGCATCACACGTGCTCCTTCTTGCACACCCAGACTGAGCCTTCTGGAAGGCAGCTAGTGTTGAAAGTGTGGGCGATTCTAGAGTCCTGCAGTCTAAATTCAATTCTTTACTCCACCACTGACTATCTGTGCAATCTTAAGCAAGTACCTTAACTTTTTACAGCCTCGGTTTGCCCATTTATAAAACAGGGACAATTATCTCACACATTTGTACAGGAGATTAAATGAGAACTTGTATCTAAAGTTCATAAGACAAATAAAGTCTCAAAAATGTTATTATTAGGGTTTGAAGAACTCATGTCCCTTGAATATTAAATTATTATCTATATGTCCACATTCATTCTCAGATCAGGGTAGTATGGAAAATTTTTAAAAAGGGAAGAAGCAGGAAAGGAAGATATTGCAAAATATTACAAGAATGAAAGAAGCAAATGGGACAAGTAGTCATGTCTTTAAGGAGGCCAGACAGAATGGCATTTACAACCAAATTGTGTGGGTAAAAGTCTCAGGGCTTTTTTTCTTCCACCTCAGGGTGATTTTCTTCTCATCTAGTCCAATCAGTTACTCATAGGAACTGGAAGAAGCTGTCATGTGAGGAGGTAAAAAGTGGTAAGAAAAGGGCCACAAGTGACACTTAGGAATCACTGGCTTTGGCCACAGAGTTTTGGCCCATTCACAGACAGCAAGTCCATTATTTGCCCATAGACAGGTGTATTCAGAGGGACAAATATGTAAATGCTATTTTACAGACATGAATGTTCTTCCATTGAATATCTGCGCACAGAATGACATTAAATATAGCTCATCTCACCTTCCACTCATCTCTTAGTTGTAAATGCCATCAGTCTCTAAACAGAACCAATGCTGGGCAGGGAACGGGCAGCAAGAACCTGAAATGTACCATTTTGCCAGACAGTGATAAAGTGCTCAAAATCTGATGGTGCTATATTAAAAGGACACAGAAATCAGTGTGAAGTGGCTTCCACTGGCCAAGTCAGGGACAAATTGAGCATCAGAGTAAACAATGATGATAATGAATCATAACCAATTAGATAAAATTAGAAAGCATGAGTCCATAATGACATAAATGAATGAACAAACTGATGAGAAGAAACAGCTCTTAACAGAAGGCCCACTAACAAATAAAGGAAGACTGATGGAATTAGAAAATCTTCATTTTTTAGGCATTAGAGTAATAATTGATTCAGGCAATAACTGATCATTAATAGATGCTAAAACCAAGGTGTGAAAGTTTGAAAAGGAACAAAATATTGGCATAGTCTCAAAACATCTCCCTATAATGTACTGTGAATTGCAAAAGAAAAAGTGGCAGTCTTTGCCATTCAAATGACTGAGGAACTTAGTTACAAAAAAACTCTGTATTATCAAATGTCCCAGAAGCAATTCTGGGAAGACATAAAACATACTCATTTGTGAGAATTTCTTTTTAAAAAAGGAGGAAGATTTGTTCTGAGAAAGCAGTATTGTGCCCTGCAAAGACAGCAAAGATGAATCAGGCTATGGTCTTGGTGGCTTTTTTCTAAGTATATTCATCTTTTCAAGGCGAGTGTTCAGGCAAGTATTCTGAGGAAAATGAGAGCTCCATGCGTGAATGATTCATTTTCTCATCATGCAAATTTTTCTTCTATGTGTTATCGCTGGAATATCAATTTAAATGGAGAGTACAAAATGAATGCTCAATTGCTGATATTTTATAAAATCCTTCAAAGCCACATGTTCAATTGAATAAAGATTTAGAGCTTAAGTCACCTATTTTATATTATGCTATACATTTTACCATATAAAGGGGCGGAAAGTTGAGATTTACAAAACTAAGGGAGGGACTAGTTTCTACTACAGCCTCCAGGTGACATGAGCCTAAAGTTGGAGATCTTGAGTGAACAGGAAGAATATGATGAGGGGACCAGGGTGATGGACATATGTTCATCAATGTGGTGAAAGAAAGGAATGTGTCGCCAGAAGGATGAAAACAGGAAAGCCTCTTTAGTAAGGCAGCTTCTAAAACTGCTAGACACTCCATTCTTGTATCCAATAAATATTTGCTAAATTCCTACTCTATATGTGCCAGACACTGTGCTAGGTATGGAGGATATAGCAAAATAGACACCGGGGACCTTGCCTGTACAACACTCACAGTCTAATTTGTGGTGGAAGTGGATATGGAAAAGTAAGCAACAGTCCCACATGGTCTGGCACTTACTAGGTTATGTGCCATGTGCTGTGAAAGCACAGAGAAGCAGCACTGAAACCCAAGAGGAAGACAGGAGGAAGATATTCCAGAAGGAGACCTCATATTTATACATTACCTCAAAAGCCAAGGGTGTCTGCCCTTCCTCTGATTAAACTGATCACCAGAAATATGGTCAAGCCAAGAAAAAGCCGTTTAAGAAATAAGGCGAGTTTATATGGAAGGAAATGTAGAAGGAAAAAAAACATTTTCAGTGTTGCTCCCTGTTTTCTTTATCGATCCAGATACAAGTCGTTGATGAAATAAAGTAGGAGGAAAAAAGATGTAAAAAGGAGGAGACAATAATATAAACACTATCATCACCAAAACTAAAAGTAACATGTTCCTATGAGCAGTGCCCTGACTAGGACAGAACCTGGCCAAGAGTGGATTTTCCAGATATGTTTATTCTGGTAATGAGAGTGCACATTGAGTTAAACTTTCAAGAAGGATTTTTGCAACCAAATTCAAGAATCTTGTGCAATTCATTCAGTCTCTGTCTAGGAATGTATCCAAAGTATGGGGAAAACTCAAAGAGTTGCTGAGTAAGTGTGTTAAACAAGTATTATTTATAATTTGGAAAAATGGAAATAACCTAATGTATAGTAGTAGAAAATTGTTAATTACGTTTAATACATCCATAGGATGGAATTTTGTGCAATCTTGAAAATTGAGTTGGAGGCAATAGATCAGAACGAACACATTCTTGCTGTGGGCTGTGTCTTTCTTGGGGTGTACACTTTTTCAGCCAGAGCTAAAGCTCCCTGTTTTCACATCATTACTTTCTCTCCCCCCACTTTTTTCCTAACCACAACCCTTCATATACATTTGTAGGCTTTTCTCTCCATTTATTTATCTTAGTAACAAACCCTAATTCATTCCTCTTCTAATTAATTTTCATACTGGATATATTTCAAAGTAGGTTTTCATGACTTTGGAAACAAATTAAAAAACTGTGTGTATGTATGTGCAGGCACACACAACTTGTACATGTAGTGACTATGTAAAAATATACAGCTAACAGGCAACGATGATAACCCCTAGAAAAGAAGAGGACTGCATGACAAGAAAACTGAAGTAAAAGGAGGCTTCCTTTCACTGATTATTCTTTGGTACTAGTTTTAATATCATAAACATTGTCTTAGTCTGTTCAGCCCACTGTAACAAAACTACACACCAGGTGGCTTTTAAACAGCAGGAATTTATTTCTCATGGTTCCAGAGGCTGAGAAGTCCAAGATTAAGGCAGCAGCAGATTCCGTGTCTGGTGAGAGCCCGCTTTCTGCCTCATAGACAGAGCCTTCTTGTTTTGTTCTTACATGGTAGAAGAGGTGGGGGAGGTCTCTCTCAGACTTTGTGTGTGTGTGTGTGTGTGTGTGTGTGTGTGTGTGTGTGTGCGCGCGCGCGTGCGTGCGTGCTGGGATTACAGGCGTGAGCCACCGCACCCAGCCTCAGGACTCTTTTATAAGGACACTAACCTCATTCATGAGGGCCCCACCCTCATTACCTAATCACCTCCCAAAGACCCCACCTCCTTTCAACATCCGTCATTTCAAAATCTGATTCTGAGGGGACACAAGTGTTCAGCCTATAGCAAATGTATTATCTGGTCAATATATAAATAAATATATCTTGTAAATGGAATGTAGAAATAATCTGATAGAACATGATCATTTTCATATAAGCAAGCATAGACCCAGAAAAATGAAGCAATTGTCCCAAGGTCACATAATAAATTAGTGCAAGTGCTGATATTAAAAGGAAAAGGATCTGGCAGGGACAGAAACAAATTTACCGAGAATCTGGCATCTAATTCACTTAATACCTCTGAGAAAAACGTTTTTAAAGATGAAGAAATTGATGTTCAGAGACATCATGTAATGCTAAAGGCAACACAGCTGAGGAGAAGCTCAGGTTCAAATTTGATTCTACCATCCAACTCTCTGGGCTCTGCTCTTTTTGAGTCTTTATGCTGCTCTGCCCCTCTCAATCCCATAGTCAGCTAAATTCTGTGTTGTTTATCTAGTCCATGCTGTCCAAGACACAATCCCTCATTCTTTTGAATTCACCCTTATTAATCTGCACCATCCCAAAGGGCAACACTCTACATCCATCCAAACTTTACTTTTTCTAAATAGAAGAGAATCTTCCTAAAGAGAGACTCGTAAGTCAACACATTTTCACAGCATTTCACATATCATTGTTTCACAAAGAAATCTACTATTTATAATCTTTTTAAACTGAAAAGCTACTCTACCTTCCTTTATACAGTACCATTAGGCTGTGGGCTTATAAACCTGAGCCATATCATTTCTCCCACCCTTTATTGGAAGGTGCAGCAGTCAGGGTTTCTGCAAAAATCAGATGATCCACATAAATACAGTAATTGAAAATACAATAAAGAAACTATCTGCATTTGTTTAAGCAAAAGTGGTTGAGAGAAACCACAAAGAGATGGTCAAGCTCTCTGGGTTAGCAACAGCAGGGAGACATTATCACTCCTTGGCATGAAGAGACGAGGGAGGGGGCAGTTATTATAACCCAGTAAGAAATGAGGCATTCAGTTACTGCCACTGTTGCCCAGCTAGGAGGAAGTCAGGGAAATAAATAGCATAATATCACACTCCTCCTACCCTCTGATTTCCTCTGCTGATGTTGCCATTGGTCTAACCCAACTGAAACCAGAGGGCAAGGGGACCAGTTAAGGAATACCTCCCAGGATTCGGCGTGAGGCGCCAAGGGGCAGAAAGTTGATCTGTGAAACCATGCAAAAAGTACCCCACATGGTTTCTGCTGCATGCAGCATTATACCATTCAGTGGTCATTCCCTCCACTGACTGACTGCTGTGTGGATCTCACCTGACTACTGACTTGTAACACAAGGCTCTCTGTGGTTCTGAAATATTCTCCAGATCCATAACTGACCACCCTAGGCGGTGGACTTCTCCATCTTGAAGTTTTTTTGTTGTTGTTGTTGTTTAGATGGAGTCTTGCTCCATTGCCCAGGCTGGAGTGCAGTGGCATGATCTTGGCTCGCTGCAACCTCCACCTCCTGGGTTCAAGCGATTTTCCTCCCTCAGTCTCCTGAGTAGCTGAGAGTACATGCATGAGCCACTGCATTTGGTCCCCATCTTGACTTTTGAAAACAGGGCAATGATTGTATGTGATTGCATGTGAAATAATTCCCAAATTCTGTTCTTCATAACCTTGACATTTTCTATAAGTTCTTCCACCCAGCATCACTAAAACCCTTCAAGTCCAAGTCCCTGAAGCTCCACCCCACTGTCTTAAGAGGTACCATACATGCTGCTCCCTGGGTCCTAACACACTTCCCCTGCACCTTCTTCAAAATGCTTCAAGAATTTCCCTGGTCATTTGGCCAAGGCCATCTCAACAAAAAATTCTATATACTTCCTACCTACTTGCAAAAATGCGACATTTAAAATTAGCCTTTGAAAAGTTGCATGTAATTTCTGAGGACAGAATCAGATTTTAACATCCTAGGCCAGCTCACATTTGAAATGAAATCTTCCAGAGGCTGAGGGAGGAAGAAAGTGAGCCATAATGAAAAGCAGCCAGTACTGGAAATAAAGAGCCTGGATTTTAGTCGCAGTTCCACTGCTGAGCAGCTGAGCGACCTCGGGGAAGGTACATAAGCTTGAGTCTATCCTCAGAAATAGCGGGGAACTGAGTGAAATGATCCTCAAGACTTACTGTGTGAGTATTCAAAGCTCTTAAGAATGTTTGTAAATTAAAGAACCCTTAAAATGGGGATGATGAACCTGTTTGAGGAAAAATTATATTTCTTCCATGTAACCAGTGGAGTCCAAATCACTTATGGGAGAAACAGTGTTTCTTTCCTGAGCATTGCCCTTTTCTCAGGAGAATGCATTTTTGTTCAAGATTTTCTTTAGAGCAACTTTGACGTCCTTATTCCTCAGGCTATAAATTAATGGGTTGAGCATGGGCACCACAGTGGTATAGAATAGGGAAGACACCTTGCCCTGGTTCATAGCTAAAAGAGAAAAGGGTTTGAGGTACATGAATGCTCCTGACCCAAAGAACAGAGAAACTGCAATTATGTGGGAGCTGCAGGTGCTGAAGGCTTTGGACCTGCCCTCCGTGGAATCAATGTGGAAGATGCTGGAGAGAATGAGAGCATAGGAAATGAAGATGGTGACTGTGGGCACACCAATATCAATGCCCACAACAACAAACACTACAAGCTCATTCACATAGGTGCTGGTGCAAGCACACTCAAGAAGGGGAAGGATGTCACACATGTAGTGGTTGACAAGGTTATTGGCACAGAAGGTCACACCCATCATGCACGCTGTGTGGGCCATGGCCCCAGCAAACCCCATCCCATAGACACCCAACAAAAGGAGAAAACACACCTGGGGAGACATGGTGACCATGTACAACAGTGGGTTACAGATGGCCACATAGCGGTCATACGCCATTGCTGACAGGATGAAGGACTCAGAGACAACAAAGAAAAGAAAGAAGAAGAGCTGAGTCATACACCCTGCGTAGGAGATGCTGTTCTTCTTTAAGACAAAGCTCATCAGCATTTTGGGAGTGATAACACTGGAATAGCAGAAATCTATGAAGGACAAGTTATAGAGGAAGAAGTACATAGGGGTGTGCAAGTGAGAGTTGAGCCTTATCAGGGTTATCAAGCCCAGGTTCCCCACCACAGTGACCACGTAGAAGCCTAGAAACAGGAAGAAGAGGGGGATCTGGACTCCCGGTTGGTCAGTTAAGCCTGCGAGGATAAACTGTGTCACGAAGGAGGAATTCTCAGCAGCCATTGTCATTTAAGGCATTCTGTGGGGACAAGGGAAAAAGTTATTTAGAGAGAGAGAGAGACCACTGCTGCCCTCCCAGTCATCCCTCCTTCCTTCTTGAGAATAGGAGGCACACAGAGAGATTTTGAACTTCAGCAGAGGGGGCTTTGCTGCGGCTCCCTCTGGAGCAAGCCCCGCCTCCATGGCCAGGGCAGGTGCTGCTGGCAAGGCCTCCCATCTTTACTTTGATCCCTTTGTTGCGCCCTTTCAACTCCAGTTTCTACTTAAGTTTACAGAAACTGGGGCCAGTCTCCAGGAAGAGTCCTCTTAGAGGCCGGACCCAGCCCGCCTGTGCCTGGAGAGTTAGGGTTAGGGTCATCCTGGACAGAGCAGAAGGGTAGAGTGGACTTCCCAGAGCTTTAGTACCTGAGACTGGGGACTCGGGAAAAGTTCGGACTGCTCATCCGGATTCAGCCTCTCATCCTCTTCAGCCCAGAGTTTCAGTGATGTGCCTTTAGGTCCAGCTCTTATCTTCACTTGTTCAGACAGATTGGCTGCGGAGCTATCACAGATGAAAGACTAAGCACCAGCCCGCTAGGCCCTATCCCGATGGCAGCACTGGAGCCTCGGCTGCCTCAGAACTCTTTCTGAGCTACAGTACGTGACATCTGATGGAGGCTGTGCCCTGAGGCCTTCCTCCAGCTTGCAGAAAGGCGACAGCATCCTTACCATTATCAGTGACAGCCAATGACAGGAGACTGAGCAGTTTTATTCTGAGTTTGGATATCTGGGGAACTGATTAGAAGTAGAGCAGCAGAAGTTCCCCTGGGATCACAGACCTGGATATAACAAAGTTGTGCTCATACCCTTGATAATATTTGAATGGGCTTTTAGAAACATGAAAATATTTGTTCAATTAACATCTACTCGGAAATATGCAAAGCATTGTGCAAAAACAATAATTTACCATTTATTGAGCACTTAATGTATACCTAATCCTTTTTTTTCCTAGCATTATGCACTGACCTCAGCATGCCAGGATCCAATACCATTTTTCATATAATTTTTCATTTTAATTCTACCCCAAATTCTATGAGCTGGGTTTTATCACCCTCATTTTAGAGATGAAGTAACTCCCCAAATGTTAAGTTACAAAGGCCATATTAAAACTAGGTGCATCTTACTCCAGATTTGGTGTTCTTAATAACTGAGTTTAACACCTCTCTATAGAAGATAATGAAGTATGTAAAGCCCAGTTCTTGCCTTCAAGACTCTGACCATGTCTTGAAAAAGACACTAGAACACACATAACTAAGCAAAAGCATGTGATAAGATCCAGAAAAGGCAAAAACAAAATGTTATGCCACTCTGATGGAGGACATTCAACCTATCACTTATATTTCAGTTCATTGCTGAGCTGCACAATACCCAGTCCAGAAGACAAACCAATCTGTCTTTTCTTGGAATTTGAGCTTGACAGTAAAAATCAATCTCGATTGGTTAAGAGTTTTTTCCAAAATTGCTAACTTGTTGGGATTCCCCTAGATGGCCCCTGTCCTCTATCGTTGTTCTTTCCAGTGTTATTTTCAGCTTTCCTCATCGTGAGCCTGAAGGCCTTGTAGCTTGATTCTCCTTCTTCCCACGGGATATTTGCTTTCTCGTTTTGCTTGCTTTGTTCTTTTCATAACTCCCCTCTCTCGTGACAAAAGTCATCCCTTCTGTGTTCTAGCCTCTCAGAGCCTTGCTTGAGCTCAGTGACAGCTAGTTATCATTCTTGGAGCCCCATAAATTTGAATCAATATTTAAAAATCATCTAATCCTGTGGTTCATAAACCTGGCTGTGCAAATGAATTAGATAACTATATGCTTATTAAAAGTACAGATCCTGCTGCCCCAAGCCAGGCATCATAAATTAGAATCTCCAGGGGTGGGATTTTATAACTTATATTTCTCACCCTATTGATCTGGATATTTAGACAGGTTTCACCCTATTGATCTGGATGTTTAGGCAGGTTTGGGATTCAATGCCCTAATACTCTATCTACCCTACGTTTTCTAGACAGGAAAATTGAAGTCCACCAGTCAGAGTTGGTTGGTGGTGAAGTCCAGAATAAAACTTGGGTCTCCAGTCTTTCCAGTTACATTGTCTGGAGGAAGTTCACCTGGCCTTTAGTTCGGCTGGAATGTAGAGTACAGGGAGGGATATAGTTGTGCATCAACCCTGGAATAGCATCCCAGGTTCCTGCTGTGGAGAGACTTGAACGTCATGACAGGAATTACGTATGCAATGTGAATCCATGGAATATATTGAATATGAGAGTGACATGGTCAGAGTTGTGGGGAGGGAGGCCAATTAGTCTATTGGGCTACTGGGTGTTGATGACTTGATGCCATGTTCCCCCCAAATGCTATGTTTAATGTGTAATTCAGACACGATGCCATAGCTCAAAGCACCAGCAATAAGATAAAGGATGAATTTTCAAAACAAGTAGCAGGTAAATGGAGCAAAAGGCCTTTCTAAGCTTTTTAGCACATGACAAGTCACATAACGCTGGCCCTGTCTTCTAGCTGTGTTGTTCTCTGCCTACTATCCTGAATATTTTCACCAGGTCTGAGTTCAGGTCCCATCACCAAGCTCTCTGTGTTGCACATGTTTTATGCCTCATTTTATATTACTCAGCCTATCTTTTGGGCTTCTGCTGTTGCTGTGGCAGTGAGCTGCATCCAGCTATAGCCCAATAACAATGTTTCTTGACTACACTACGTATCCCCTCCTTTCAGCCCTAGGACACCTCTGCCACCACAAAGTGGTACATCTGAGAATCCATTCAGCCATTATGGTGCACGTGCTGATCTGTAAGCGTGAAGGAATTAACACCCCTGGGAGTCAGTGGGTAAATGTCTCCCTTTTGTGTATCTCCAGTGGTTCATTCTTCTTAGTACATCAAAAGATCTCAGAGGAACTAATCCTAAATTCCCCATTAAGGTAACATATAACAGAACCTTTTATTGGTTTTCTATACTTCCCTGTTTTTCTCTCTCTCTTTTCCCTGGGATGACTTCTAAAAATAAGCTATCTGCATGTATGGCCTTGTCCCCAGCACAGCTTTTTATGGAAATCCCAGCTAAGGTACTCCTAAAACAGTATTCGGATCAGGTTTCAACAAAATGTTCCTTACTCCACCTGGGAGGAAGCATCCTCACCCAAGTCTCTTTGATTCCAGGACAAGAAACTAAATATGCATCAGTAAATTCATCAAGGACCTGAAATTATTCAGTACCATGTTTCAGAGAATTTTTATGTCTTGAGCATGACCTATCAAAACACCTAAATGCCAGAAGGAGTAATCTCAAATAATTATCGGCTCACACCTTAATAGGGATTAGCCACGACAAATCCTACAGTACTTTGTTCTTAGATCTCTTGCAGCTCTACTCACAATGTATTACTGTCCTGTCCCTCCATGAACTATAATGATGCTAGCAACATTGTAGTTTTATTCACTTTTATATCTTTGAATCATATAGCTCACAAAATGTTCATTAATCTCTAATTCTCAATCTCCTCATCTATAAAATGGGGATGATGGCGATAATTCACAGTGTCGTTGTTGTGAGAGTTAAATTAAATCATGAAAGTGGAAGAGCCGAGAAGAGTGGTTGACAAAAGAAAGAGCCCTGATAAATGCTGTAGAAAATAGACATAAAACAAATATGAAATGCATATATCCTAGGGATGGCATGAGGGAAGGAAAAATCTTGCTTAAAGCTGAATGAGCCTGAAAGAGACAAGAGAGGGTCTGCCATAGGGCAGAGGAGACAGCTGACAAGAGTGAGAAGAGCCTGGGAACAATACACTCTTCAAACTTTAAGGCCTGTCTCTCCAACATAACCCAATCCACAGACAACATCAGGCCCTTGAGTATATTACCCTGTCCCTACTTCCTGTCCTACCACCAATGCCTATTTTTCAAATATCCACATTCTATCACACCACAAAAGCCAAATTCCAAAATCAGGTAAGGGTTTCTTTACAGCCTCCCATTTTCTCTTCCTATACCCATCTCTAGTCTCCTAGTCTCAGCAAAAA